>NC_000005.10:177566671-177717117 GCF_000001405.40 Homo sapiens
GGGAGGTGGAGAGTGCAGTGAGCCAAGATTACTTCACTGCACTCCTGCCTGGGCAACAGAGTGAGACACCATCTGAAAAACAAACAAACAAAAAGAGTGTCTTATGGCATTGTGAGATATAAATGGAGACGTTAGCACAGTGCCTGGCACATACAGTAGGGTGTCCAAAAACAAGAGCACCCTAACAAGAGCCTGGCACAGACAGTTAAAGTCCAGGGCATCTTGAAATGTGGTATGTGGGCAGGCACAGTGGCTCATGCCTGTAATCCCAGCTACTCAGGAGGCTGAGGCAGGAGAATGACTTGAATCTGGGAGGTGGAGGTTACAGTGAGCCGAGATCCCACCACTGCACTCCAGCCTGGGCAACAGAGTGAGACTCCCTCTCAAAAAATAGAAATGCAGTGTGTGGTTCTCAGTGCCTCCAATAACTAATGCAGCCTGCCCGTCAGAAGTCAGCTAACAAGGCTGTGTGCAGTGGCTCATGCTGTAATCCCAGCATTTTGGGAAGCTGAGGCAGAAGAATTGCTTGAACCCAGGAGGTGGAGGTTGCAGTGAGCTGAAATCGTGCCATTGCACTCCAGCCTGGGCGACAAGAGCAAGACTTCATCAAAAAAAAAAAAAAAAAAAAAAAAAAAGAAAGAAAGAAAAAAGGTCAGCTAACAAAATGACTTATTACGGAAAGATAGCGAAGTCGTCACTGCTCTGTTGGACAATAACAGCCTTATCTCAGGGCCCCCTGCCTCCAGACATTTATACCTTCCAGCCCTGCCATGCACCGCCCCAGAGTGAATTTTCTAATAGATGTCATAATGTAACTGAGGGTTTCAGTAGTTTCCGTTCTGAAATGGCTCTCCACATCCATGCTTCTGATGCATAGCCTTTTCTGAGCGCCTGCTGAAATAGGCAAACCAAATAGGAACAATGAGTCCTCATCACTGGACATTAAGAAGGGTCTCACCTACACATCTGAAAATGCGTGGTCCGGCAGGAAGTCATTCTGATTAGGGCAGAGTGCAGATGGGAAATCTGCTGGTCACCTAACCCACTCACTTCCTGGTCCCACTGATATCTCTTGGCTTAGAGTTGGGCCAGGAGACAAGAGCTCTCATGGTCTGCAAGGCACGTGAACTCCAATAGGCTTGAAGCCCACCCCAGGAGCATCTGCAGGGAATGGGGACCTCACATAGGATCTCACACCCAGAGTGCCCATGACAGGGGGTCTGGATAAAGGTGTGGGGGTGGTTTATTGAAGGATACTTAATTGGAGAGAAGAGGTAAGTAACAAATTACACCAAAACTTAGTGTGGCTTAAAACAAAAATAAGCATTTATTATTTCATGTAGTTTCTTCAGGCTGGGAATTTGGGAGTGGCCTAGCTAGGTGGTGGATTGACTCAGCATCTCTCATGAAAGGTGAGGGCAAGATGTCACTCGAAGGTTGGGTGCAGTGGCTCATGCCTGTAATTCCAGCACTTTGGGAAGCCAAGGCGGGTGGATCA
The DNA here is from genome assembly GCF_000001405.40 of Homo sapiens. NCBI lineage: Eukaryota > Metazoa > Chordata > Mammalia > Primates > Hominidae > Homo > Homo sapiens. The sequence continues at coordinate 177,568,170 of NC_000005.10, forward strand.
CTTGAGGTCAGGAGTTTAAGACCAGCCTAGCCAACATGGTGAAACCCTGTCTCTACTAAAAATACAAAAATTAGCTGGGTGTGGTGGTGGGTACCTGTGATCCCAGCTACTCGGGAGGCTGAGGCAGGAGAATTGCATGAACCTGGGAGACAGAGGTTGCAGTGAGCCGAGATCGCACCACAGCACTCCAGCCTGGGTGACAGAGCAGAAACTCCATCTTGAAAAAAAAAAAAAAAAAAAGAAAGATGTCACTAGGGGCTGCAGCCATCTGCAGGCTCGATGGGGCTGGAGGAGCCACACCCATGAGGGTGCAGTCAGGCTGCTGGTGGGAGGCCCCTGTCCTCACCGTGTGGGCCTCTCCGCATCCTATTGGTTACACAGACTGACCCTCTTTGGTGTGAAGGGGGACAACACAGGAGCGTGAACACTAGGAAATATGAGTCATCGAGGCCACCTTGGAGGCTGGCTACCCAAGGGAGGTTGTCTCCAGCCAAGGCAGAGGGGAAGAGGAGTCCTTCCACTCCAGACACAAAATATGATACAAAATGTAGATGCATTGTTCAGCTTCAAAGGAAGTAAGGGACATCTTCAGGGCCAGGAGAAAGAGGCACATCAGGCCAGGTGCGGTGACTCATGCCTGTAACCCCAGCATTTTGGGAGGCCGAGGCGGGCGGGTCACAGGGTCAGGAGATCGAGACTGTCTGGGCTAACATGGTGAAACCCCATCTCTACTAAAGATACTAAAAATTAGCCACGCGTGGTGGTGGGCGCCTGTAGTCCCAGCTACTTGGGAGGCTGAGGCAGAAGAATGGCGTGAATCCGGGAGGCAGAGCTTGCAGTGAGCCAAGATCGTGCCACTACACTCCAGCCTGGGCGACAGAGCGAGACTCCGTCTCAAAAAAAAACAAAAAAAAGTTCATATTAATTGGCCTGGAGCCCTATTTACTATTCCAAGAATGTCTTTTTTCCCTCACCTCCCTGCACTGTCTGCAACTCAGGTGCCCGGCCAGTTGGGTGAGGATTTTGCAGGATAGAACCCTGGAAAGCTTGGAGAAGCCCCGGAAGCACTCTGTTTTTCTCTGGCTGCTTTTGCTGCTGGGGCCCCACGGTGTGGTCAGAGGTCCAGCAGGGCAGCGGGGTGGGGTGGTGGGGGTGCTTTTCTGGTGCAGCTGGAGTGCCCTTGGGAGGCTGGGGCTCTGTCCTCTTCATTTCTGCCACTCAGTGGCTCTGGGGAGGGAGAAAACAGTAGTAGGGCCCAGGGGATGTGGCTTGCCTTGGCTGTCTCCTTGAAAGGAAAAGCAGTTCTTCCCTGTGACAGCCTCCAGAGGTTCTCTGATGCTGGGCTGGACGGCATTTGCAGCCTTAAGTTTGGGAGTAGCTTCCTTTCCCCCATTTCAAAGCCTTCCCTCATTTTCTGACCCAGAAGAGGGGCATTGCTTGGGGAGATGGGAAGAAACTAACCTGGTTACTTTTTCCTCTGCAGATAAATCTTCACAGCTATTTACAAAGTGACAACCTCTCTCTAAAAATCCTTGCTTGGAGGTCACCTTGTAGTGCTGAGGATTTTCACAGATAAGATAGCTCTTCAGAGAGCCTGGATCTTGGAAGAGGCATTTTCTCACTGTCTCATCTGGCAAATGATATCCCATATATCAGTGATACCTTTATCTCCCAGGGGCGAGTCCTCTGGCTGTCCAGCTACTCAGATGCACCCAGGAGCATGCCAATCATATTATCATTATTGGACAATTATTAATTGTTGGACAATTATTCATCAGACTGTGAAAATTGGAGTTAGCTAGACCTGCATATCACCTAGAGTGAAAGCCAGAATCCTTACCGGATGCCCTCCTCCTCCTGAGCTCTTCCTTTCCCCTTTCTCACTGTATCCCAGGCACTTGCCTTCCTTGGTCTCCATACTCCCACCTCAGGGCCTTTGCACATGCTCTTTCCTCTGTAAAGATGGTGGCAGCTGACCAAGGACAGGAAGTGAGGCTTCTGTGCAGCGTACAGGCAGTCAGGGATGTGTCTGCAGAGAATTTAAAAACAATAACACTGACTAAAAATTGGTTTGCATTTTTTTTATCATCACCAAGTGCTGGTAATTCTAAGTAGTGTCACTGATGAAACACTCCCCAGGGAAGTATTTTACCAGCTTCTGTTGGTCTAAGTTATTAATATAAACAATTGCTGGGGTTACTGATAAGTTTTTGTTTGTTTGTTTGTTTTTTATTTGAGACTGGGTCTCACTGTATCGCCCAGGCTGGAGTACAGTGGCATGATCTTGGCTTACTGCAACCTCTGCCTCCCGGGTTCAAGCAATTCTCCTGCCTAAGCCTCCTGAGTAGCTGGGATTACATGCACACACCACCATGCCCGGCTAATTTTTGTGTTTCTAGTAGAGATGGGGTTTCACTGTGTTGGCCAGTCTGGTCTTGAACTCCTGACCTCAGGTGATCCTCCCGCCTAGGCCTCCCAAAGTGCTGGGATTACAGGCATCAGCCACCATGCCTGGCTGATAAGTTTTAATAATATACATATATGCTTCAAATTATTATTTTTTATTTACCCTTTAATAAACATTGTGTTCTATGTGGAAATTAATTGTGAGAACTCCCAGTCATACAGTTGTCTCCTCCCCAACTCCCCCAAACGGCTTTCTGAAATGAAAACAGAGAAACATTCATTTCAAGAGTAAAATTGGCTGGGCGGGGTGGCTCACACCTGTAATCCCAGCACTTTGGGAGGCTGAGGTGGGCGACATGGTGAAACCCCGTCTCTACTAAAAATACAAAAAATTAGCCGGGAGTGGTGGTGGGCACCGGTAATCCCAGCTACCTGGGAGGCTGAGGCAGGAGAATCGCTGGAACCTGGGAGGCGGAGGCTGCAATGAGCTGAGATCATGCCACTGCACTACAGCCTGGGTGACAGAGCAAGACACAAGACTCTGTCTCGAAAAAAAAAATATATATATATGGCCAGGTGCAGTGGCTCACACTTGTAATCCCAGTATTTTGGGAGTCCCAGGCAGATGGATCATGAGGTCAGGAGTTCAAGACCAGCCTGGCCAAGATGGTGAAACCCCATGTCTACTAAAAATACAAAAATCAGCCAGGTGTGGTGGCGCAGGCCTGTAATTCCAGCTACTCGGGAGGCTGAGGCAGGAGAATTGCTTGAACCCGGAGGTGGAGGTTGCAGTGAGCCAAGATTGCATCACTGTACTCCAGCCTGGACAACAGAGTGAGACTTGATCTCGAAAAAAAAAAGTAAAATTGGAGCTGTTTGGAATTGTTTGAGTTATAGTCAAGGGCAGTTTGTGGCTCCAACCCCCTGACAGTACATATTCTTGTGTTTAAAGATTCAGAATAAAAAATGATAGTATAATGATCTTTCCTTTTTAAATTATGTTTTTATTTGTTAATTTTTTTATTTTTTATTTTTCAAGACAGGGTCTCACTCTCTAACCCGGGCTGGAGTGCAGTGGCATGATCACTGCTCACTGCAGCCTCGACCTTCTAGGCTCAAGCGATCCTCCCAATGCAGCCTCCTGAGTAGCTGAGACTACAGCTGTGTATTACCATGCCTGGCTAATTTTTTTATTTTTTGTAGAGACAAGGTCTCTCTTTGTTGCCCGGGCTGGACTTGAACTCCTGGGCTCAAGCAATCCTCCCGCCTCGGCCTTCCAAAGTGCTGGGATTGGAGGCAAGAGCCACCACTCCTCGCCTGTATGATGATTTTAAAGACAAAGAAACAGAATTTATTTCATTTCTATAATCCTGTACGTGACCACATTTATTTGTATTTAGCATGTAAAACAGTGGGAAAGTGCATATTTTAATTGATATATGAAGTTGTTTTATTGAATTTCAATAGTATCTTTTAAAATTGATCTTTGTTTTAAAATTGTTCATTGTTTTAAAAGTAAAAAAAGAATAAAAAGCACATTAAATTAGTGGGGTGCACTTTAGTAGTTGCCTCAGTGGTACTTCTTGACTTCTCTTCTACCCCCTTAGGTTCTGTGAATTGAACTGACCTAAGAAGATTAGCGGGGGAAAGCATGCACATTTAGATGTTAAAATTTTAATTTTTATGTGTACATGGACACCTTCCTAGAAAAGAAATGAAGACCCAGGCCATGTACAGTGGCTTATGCCTGTAATCCCAGCACTTTGGGAGGCCAGGGCAGGAAGATCACTTGAGCCCAGGAGTTTGGGACCAGCCTGGGCAACACAGTGAGACCCTGTCTCTAATTAAATTAAAAAGAAAAGTAAATTAAAAAAGAAATAAAGACCCAAAGAAACAGCTTATAAACCATTTTAACAATGAATGATAAATTGTGGACATGTGACAAGACAAAGAAAAAAGGGACTTGAGCTGGGACTGAAAAATTGTGGGAAAGTGACTAGGAATATATGGGGGAAGCTAATGAAAGATGAATTCTTTTCTTTTCTTTTTAAGAGACAGGGTCTTTCTATGTTGCCCAGGCTGGTCTTGAACTCCTAGACTCAAGTGATCCTCCCACCTCTGTCTTCTGTGTGGCTAGGACTATAGATGTGTGCCACTGTGCCCAGCTAATAGGGCTATTATTATTTTTTGAGACAGAGTCTCACTCTGCCATCCAGGCTGGAGTGCAGTGGTGTGATCACGGCCCACTGCAGCCTTGACCTCCTGGGCTCAAGTGATCCTTCCACTTCAGCCTCCTGGGTACCTGGGACTACAGGTGCATGCCACCACGCCCGGCTAATTTTTTTGTAGAGATGGCGTTTTGCCATGTTGCCCAGGTTGGTCTCAAACTCCTGGCCTCAAGTAATCCACCCACCTCAGCCTCCCAAAGTGCTGGGATTACTGGTTAAGCTACTGTGCTCAGCTTGATAAGGGCTATTTGAATAAAGCTTGCTTTGTACAGATTCATTTCAGCATCGACTCCTCATCTCCAGTGATTATAATGTTCTTCACTTCCTGTTATTAGAAGGGCACCTTTCGGCTGGGCGCGGTGGCTCACGCCTGTAATCCCAGCACTTTGGGAGGCCAAGGCAGGCAGATCACGAGGTCAGGAGATCAAGACCATCCTGGCTAACACGGTGAAAACCCATCTCTACTAAAAATACAAACAATTAGTCGGGCGTGGTGGCAGGTGCCTGTAGTCCCAGCTACTCAGGAGGCTGAGGCAGGAGAATGACGTGAACCCGGGAGGCGGAGCTTGCAGTGAGCCGAGATTGCGCCACTGCACTTGGGCCTGGACGACAGAGCGAGACTCCATCTCAAAAAAAAAAAAAAAAAAAAAAGAAGGGCACCTTTCTCTTGGGAAATTTATGCCCTTCTTTTAGGTAGAAAGTGGGAGGTCAAAGAGCGCTTCCTGCATCTGCTTTGTCTCAATTGCCTTTAGCTTAAAATAATTGATATCTCAAAGTGGCATATTTTGGGTGGCATGTTCTGATTCCCTTCAGGTTCTTAGTTTTCCCCATCCAGCTGGGAACAGTGGCTCATGCTTGTAATCCCAACACTTTGGGAGGCTGAGATCGGCCGATCACTTGAGCCTGGGAGTTTGATACCAGCCTAGGCAACATGGCTAAACCCCATCTCTACAAGAAATACAAAAATTAGCCAGGCATGATGGTTCATGCCTATTTTTCCAGCTACTCGGGAGGCTGAGGCATGAGAATCGCTTGAGCCTTGGAGGCAGAAGTTGCAGGGAGCCGAAATCTCACCACTGCACTCCAGCCTGGGTGATAGAGCAAGACTCTGTCTCAAAAAAAAAAAAATTCCCTATCCTCATTCTTTCCTAAAGTGGCAAGAATAGAGGTGGGACACCCCAGTCCCTGCCTACAGACTTCCTCAGTGTAGCAGATTCTTCACAGCATGTCTGTGGAGCCATGAACAGAAGACGCAGACTCCTCTCTTTCTGTGTCCCTTCGGGCCCAGGTGTCAAGGACTCCCTTCCATCCTAGATAAATCTCTCCACCTGGGTTCTGATTCCACTTCCTCCCGCCTTTTTGAGGACCTGGCTTCTTCTATTTTCTCTTCTGTTATCTTAAATCCTGTTTCTGCTACATTTTCTGCCTAAGAATATAAATGACCTATCAACCTTTTTTTTTTTTTTTTCTTGAGACAGAGTTTCATTCTTGTCACCCATGCTGGAGTTCAGTGGCGAAGCTCCTGGGAAGCTCCACTTCCCAGGTTCAAGTGATTCTCCTGCCTCAGCCTCCTGAGTAGCTGGGATTACAGGCATGCACCACCACACCTGGCTAATTTTTGTATTTTTAGTACAGACGGGGTTTCATCACGTTGGCCAGGCTGGTCCCGAACTCCTGACCTCAGGTGAGCCACTGCCTTGGCCTCCCAAAGTGCTGGGATTACAGGTGTGAGCCACTGCGCCTGGCCTATCAACCCTATTTTTGACAATGACAATAATGAGGATGGACTATATGGCCCTCCTGCAGGTATAGCCCTTCCTTTCTCCCTGCCTTCCAAAAAGCAGAAGACACATTCTCACGTCCCTTTCACTCTTGGCTCCTGTTTTCCTCACGCCAAGAAGCTGCTCTGGATTAGCATGAGAGTAAGGTCTTGGGGGCCTTGGAAACTTCCACCTCCACTGGATCAGCCCTCTCAACGGCTCCAAGGCTGACACTTGCTGCCTTCATGTACCCACATCCCCTGGAGGCCATGGCACCACTCTCCTGACTGCCATCCTCCTTTTGAGCTCTCCCTAATCATCCTTCCTCCCCAGGATTCTGCCCACCTCCTCATCCAGCTTGCTCTATTCTCCTGGCTTTGGAGACAACCTTTGGGTTGGCCACATTGCAGATCTAGCTCCAAGGGAGAGATCTAGAAGGTCAATCTCTCCCTTGACCTTCAGCCTGTTAGAAATGTTGGTTTTTCGGTGCTGTAAAGAAATAGCACTTGAACATAAATTTAATTTCTTCAACAAGGCCATTTTTACTTTTTGCAGAAAGGATACACTCGCCAGCACTTTTGCCACGAGAGTACACTGAACAAAGGAGACAGGGTCATCTATAACCTGACGCGTCCACCTTCCTGCTGTGTCCGGTTTTTATTGGCTGGAACGGGACCTCACATTTTGTATTTGTCCTGATTGGCTAGTAACTTAGAACTTTTTAAAAGAGGCAAAGGCAGAGGAGAACAAAAGAAGGAGGAAGTAACTTGTGGAATGCTGAGAAAGGTAAAAACACCTTCAAATAAGGAAGAGGAACAGGCTATGACCTAATGCTTGCTTGGACCAGTATAAGCATGCCGGGGCAAATATTTAGGCTAAATTGTGGGAGCTAAAAACATAAAGTACATTGATTTCTTTATTACGGCTAGCAGATATTTAAGATGTTAGCACAGGTCTTTGAATAAATTTTGCTTCTAAGAGAAGTTACTATTTATTCCTAATTAGATGGGAAGGAAAGTCTTTGAAGAAGAACCTCTACTTTACTTTTTACAAGCCCTACCCAGCAGTCCTATTTTTCTCTTCTCAGATATCATTCCCTTCAGTGGCTACTTGAAGACGTCATTCTGCCTAAGATCCCTAAACTGCTCCCCCTTATTCTTAGTGGGCCATATCAGAGGGAAATGTCACCTGCCTGCCTGTGATACTCTCCCAAAGCTAACTGAGCTCACACATCTTTGCCTGCTTTTCACCAGGCCAAAGCCAGTGCCCCACCTGTGAACTGATCTTTTGTTCACTTGAGGCCACATGAAACTTGAAACATGAATTGTTGCCCAGTTTCCTGCAGGATGTTCCCGGGCCCACTCCAGTGGGGTTTGGAAGCTGCCCCAGTTTAGGAAACAGATTTCTTTTCTTTTTTTTTGCTTTTTGAGACAGAGTCTCAATCTGTCACCCAGGCTCGAGTGCAATGGCGTGATCTTGGCTCACTGCAACCTCCACTTCCCGGGTTCAAGCAATTATCCTGCCTCAGCCTCCCGAGTAGCTGGGATTACAGGTGTCTGCCACCACTCCCAGCTAATTTTTATATTTTTTAGTAGAGACAGGATTTCGCCATGTTGACCAGACTGGTCTCGAACTCCTGACCTCAGGCGATCCGCCTGCCTCAGCCTCCCAAAGTGCTGGTATTACAGGTGTGAGCCACCGTGCCCGGCCAGGAAATAGATTTCTTAACTCTCAGATCTCCATTAAATTGGCATGTCTAGACCTGTATTTGCAGTCTAGTTATATTTGCACAGTAACAAGTACTGGAGCAGCGCCCTCTCTGATGGAAAGTAGCTCCTGCTGATTGAGTCCCTACTACATGCCAGGTGTTGTGCCCGATGCTTTGCCTTTAGTGTCCCACGGAACATTTAGACTATATTTACGAGGTCAGAAATGGTAAGTGTCTCACTGGAAGGCATGCCACTAGAGAATTTCAGAGCCTGGAAATCAATCCATGTCTGATCCAAACCCTTACTCTATTCCCTATCCCAGCTGCCTTAAGGCTCATTTTAATCATGTTGTCAACTTTCTAGCTCCCAGAGCTCACAGGAGAGACCTCAGGAGGTGGCTGGAGAGATAGAGCAACACTATTCAACTTGAACAGAATAAGACATATATGTTACTTGAAGATTTTCCAGTAGCCATATTAAAAAAAGTATAAAGAAACAGGTGCCTGGCGCGGTGGCTCACACCTGTAATCCCAGCACTTTGGGAGGCCAAGGCAGGCGGATCACGAGGTCTGGAGATCGAGACCATCCTGGCTAACACGGGGAAACCCTGTCTCTACTAAAAAAAAATACAAAAAATTAGCCGGGTGTGGTGGTGGGCACTTGTAGTCCCAGCTACTCAGGAGACTGAGGCAGGAGAATGGCGTGAACCCAGGAGGCGGAGCTTGCAGCGAGCAGAGATCATGCCACTGCACTCCAGCCTGGGTGACAGAGTGAGACTCCGTCTCAAAAAAAAAAAAAAAAAAGAAACAGGTGAAGTTAATTTTATTAATATAATTTATTTATCCAAATGTATTTCAAATATTATCATTTCAACATGTTTTATTTTATTTTATTTTTATTTTTGAAACAGAGTTTCACTGTTGTCGCCCAAGCTGGAGTGCAGTGGTGCGGTCTTAGTTCACCGCAAACTCCGCCTCCCGGGTTCAAGCGATTCTCCTCCATCAGCCTCCGGAGTAGCTGGGATTGCAGGAGCCTGTCACCATCCCCGGCTAATTTTTTGTATTTTCAGTAGAGACGGGGTTTTACCATGTTGGCCAGGCTGCTCTCGAACTCCTGACCTCAGGTGATCCACCTGCCTCAGCCTCCCAAAGTGTTGGGATTACAGGTATGAGCCACTGCGCCTGGCCACATGTACTTTTTTTTTTTTTTAAGACAGGTTTTGTTCTGTCACCCAGGCTGGAGTGCAGTGGCACAATCATAGCTCACTGCAGTCTCGACCTCCTGGGCTCAAGTGAGTCTCCTGCCTCAGCCTCCCAAGTAGCTGGGACTACAGGCCTACAGGCATGTGACACCACACCCAGCTAACTCTACTTTTTTTTTTTTGAGACAGAGTCTCACTTCGTCGCCAGGCTGGAGTGCAGTGGCATGATCTCGACTCACTGCAACCTCCACCTCCTGGGTTCAAGTGATTCTTGTGCCTCAGCCTCCTGAGTAGCTGCGACTACAGGCGCCTGCCACCACACCCAGCTAATTTTTGTATTCTTAGTAGAGATGGGGTTTCGCCATGTTGGCCATCTCCTGACCTCATGATCTGCCCGCCTTGGCCTCCCAAAGTGCTGGAATTATAGGAATAAGCCACCGCACCTGGCCTAATTTTACATTTAAAGTTAGCAACAGAGCTGAGGGGGGCAGACTGATGGATCCACTTCTTCCTCATAATCTCCATCACTCCTCTTAGGATATGCACGGCTATCATTTTCTCATGTTTATGTTAAATGTGGCAAAACAGCTTCAAGCTCCTATCCAATATGTCCCCAAATTCTTTTTTTTTTTTTTGAGATGGAGTCTCGCTCTGTCACCAGGCTGGAGTGCAGTGGTGCAATCTCAGTTCACTGCAACCTCTGCCTCCCAGGTTCAAGCAATTCTCCTGCCTCAGCCTCCCAAGTAGCTGGGATTACAGGCACCTGCCACCGCGCCCAGCTAACTTTTGTATTTTTAGTAGAGACGGGGTTTCACCATGTTGGCCAGGATGGTCTTGATCTCCTGACCTCATGATCTGCCCACCTCAGCCTCCCAAAGTAATGGGATTACAGGCGTGAACCACCGCGCCCATCCCACAAATTCTTATTATATAGAAACTGTGGCATTGTCACTGTTGGCAGCTAATCTAAGAAAAATTGTAAACATTGTGCCGGCCAAACAAAATATGCCTGCAGGCCACCAGTCTGCAGCCTGATGACAGCCTACTTCTAGTTGTCCAACTTGTAGTAAGGATATTCACTTCCACCCATTGTTTGATCTAACCTCTCTCCTGGCTTCATTCTAATCAAGCCACATTTATTTTCCTGAACCTTTCTTCTTTTCTTTTTTCTTTTTTTTTAAATTGAGACGAGTTTCGTTCTTGTTGCCCAAGCTGGAGTGCAATGGCGCGATCTTGGCTCTCCACAACCTCCACCTCCTGGGTTCAAGCAATTCTCCTGCCTCAGCCTCCCGAGTAGCTGGGATTACAGGCATGCACCACCACACCCAGCTAATTTTGTATTTTTAGTAGAAACGGGGTTTCTCCGTGTTGGTCAGGCTGGTCTTGAACTACCTACCTCAGGCGATCCGCCTGCCTTGGCCTCCCAAAGTGCTGGGATTACAGGCATGAGTCACCATGCCCAGCTGAACCTTTCCTTTTCAAAGCCTCTATTGGCCGGGCACGGTGGCTCTCTCCTGTAATCTCAGCACTTTGGGAGGCCGAGGTGGTGGATCAGCTGAGGTCAGGAGTTAGAGACCAGCCTGGCCAACATGGTGAAACCCTGTTTCTACTAAAAGTACAAAAATTAGTCAGGCGTGGTGGCAGGCGGCTGCAGTCCCAGCTACTCAGGAGGCTGAGGCCGGAGAATCGCTTGAACCTTGGTGGCAGAGGTTGCAGTGAGCCGAGATCACGCCACTGCACTCCAGCCTGGGTGACAGAGAGACTCTCAAAAAAAAAAAAAAAAAAAGCCTCTATCTTGGCCAGGCATGGTAGCCCCCACCTGTAATCCCAGCTCTTTAGGAGGCCAAGGTGGGAGGATGGCTTGAGCCCAGGAGTTGGAGACCAGCCTGGGCAACGCAGGGAGACCCTGTCCCTACAAAAAAATTAGCCAGAACGTGGTGGCATGCACCTATAGTCCCAGCTACTCCAGAGTCTAAGGTGGGAGGATGGCTTGAGCCTGGGAGGCTGAGGCTGCAACTTTGTCTCAGAAAAAGCCTCTAACCTTAACATGTTATGTAATTAAGGGTTAAGCCACTTGAAGTGCTTTTTTTTTTTTTTTTTAACGGAGTTTTGCTCTCCTTGCCCAGGCTGGAGTGCAATGGTGCAATCTTGGCTCACCGCAACCTCTGCCTCCCGGGTTTAAGTGATTCTCCTGCCTCAGCCTCCCGAGTAGCTGGGATTACAGGCATGCACCACCACGCCTGGCTAATTCTGTATTTTTAGTAGAGATGGGGTTTCTCCATGTTGGTCAGGCTGGTCTTGAACTCCTGACCTCAGGTGATCTGACCACCTCAGGTGATCTGACCACCTCAGCCTCCCAAAGTGTTGGGATTACAGGTGTGAGCCACCGTGCCCAGCCAATTGTCCCATTTTTTAATGTCACTGGATACCTTATCATGGGTACACTTCTTGCTCTCTGTAATGGGTTGACTAGTGGTTACAAAAAAGATATGGCTATGCTTCAGCCCCCAGAGCCTTTGAATATGACCTTATTTGGAAAAAGAGTCTTTACAAATATAATAATAATTTTTTCTTGAGACAGGGTCCCTCTCTGTCACCCAGGCTGGAGTGCAGTGGCAAGATCACAGCTCACTGCAGGTTTGACCTCCTAGGCTCAAGTGATCCTCCCACCTCAGCCTCTAAGTAGCTGGGACTACAAGTATGCATCACCACACCTAGCCAATTTTTAAATTTTTTTGTAGAGATTGGATCTCACTATGTTGCCCAGGTTGATCTCCAACTCCTGGGCTCAAATGATCCTCCCACCTCAGCCTCCAAGAGTTCTGGGATTACAGACATAAGCCACTGCACCTAGCTGCAAATATAACTAATGTAAAGATCTTGAGATGAGATCATTCTGGGGTGAATTATCCAGGATTACCTGGGAGGGCCCTAAATCCAGATGACATGAATCTTCGTAAGAGTCAGGAGAGTAGAAAAGACATCAGAGGAGAAATCTGTGTGAAGATGGAAACAGAGACTGACGAGAATGATGCAGCCACAAGCCAAGGAATGTCTGGAGCCACCAGAAGCTGGGAGAAGCAAGGAAGGATTCTCCCCTAGAACCTCTGGAGGGAACACAGCCCTGCTGTCACCTTGATTTTGGACTTCTGACCTCTGGAACTGTGAGAGAATAATGGAAAAGCCATATTAATTTGTGTCAATTTGTTACAGAAGCCATAAGAATGAACATACTCCCCCTGATATGGCCAGCTCTTTAAAGACAGAGGCCCCTTTGTATGGGGTCTTTGTATGGGGTCTTTCCTTTATCTGGAGAAAAGTATCTGGTGCAGAGAAAAGAATGCCAAAAGTTGAGTCAAATTTCCCAGGTTTTATTTTATTTGTTCATATATATATATATTTATTTATTTATTTATTTTTGAGACAGAGTCTCACTGTGTCACCCAGGCTGGAGTGCAGTGGTGCCATCTCTGCCTCCTGGGTTCAAGTGATTCTCCTGCCTCAGCTTCCTGAGTAGCTGGGATTACAGGTGCCCACCACCAGGTCCAGTTAATTTTTGTGTTTTTATTAGAGATGGGGTTTCACCATGTTGGCCAGGCTGGTCTTGAACTCCTGACCTCAGGTGATCTGCCCACCTTGGCCTCCCACAGTGCTGGGATTACAGGTGTGAGCCACCGTGGCTGGCTTAAAATGATAATATCTTTTATTCTTCTGTTTTAGGCACTGTTCTAAGCACTTTTAAGGGTATTAACTAATTTCATCTTAAATATAATGGCATGAGATAGACTTTATTATTATAATAATTTTATAACTTGGGAAACAGCATCAAAAAGAAGTTTAGTAATATTTTGTCCAAGGTCATTCAGCTGATAAGTGGCAGGCATTTACTCGCACAAACTCTGGGCCAGGCCTTATGATACATGTTGGATACAAAATTGAATGAAACCTGTCTCCTGCCTCCAAGAACCCACTAAAAAGTACATGAAAACTGTTAATGCAATGTCTTAAGATTAATAATATGTTTCAGCTACAAAAAACCATCCGCTCATTCTAGTGGTATGGCATCTTAATAATCCTAGGGGAACGTTTTCTATTATTTCATTGGGAATTATTTTTAAACAAAAATGACAGATGCAGATGTTGATAAAAGTTAAACGCTTTAGAAACGTCAATTAAGGCACGTGCTTAAAAGCACCCATAGGATTTGGTAGCTAGGAGCTCACCAGTGGCATTCACTGGAGCTGGAAACAGGCAGAGGCAATGACAATAGGGTTTTGGAGGGAGATTGAGGTGCTGTCCATGGTTCTGAACCATTCTAGACTGGTACTATCAACTGTATCAAGAACCTGTGTGTGGGGTTGCGGGGTGGGGGTGTGGAGGTTTTTTTTTTTTTTTTGAGATGGAGTCTCGCTCTGTCACCTAGGCTGGAGCACGGTGGCATGATCTCGGCTCACTGCAACCTCTGCCTCCTGGCTTCAAGGGATTCTTCTGCCTCAGCCTCCTGAGTGGCTGGGATTACAGGCACCTGTCACCATGCCCGGCTAATTTTTGTATTTTTGGTAGAGACGGGGTTTCACCGTGTTAGACAGGATAGTCTCGATCTCCTGACCTCGTGATCCGCCCGCCTCGGCCTTCCAAACTGCTGGGATCACAGGTGTGAGCCACCGTGCCCGGCCATTGTTGTTGTTTAAATTCCCAACCCCTCACAAATGAGTATTTTTGTAAAATCCAATAAAAAATAAAACTGATCGGGGCAGGGGAGTGGGGAGAGCGAGCCTCAGGGAAAGGTAACTAATGCATGCAGGGCTTAATACCTAGGGTTAATAGGTGCAGTAAACCACCATGGGACATGTTTACCTATGTAACAAACCTGCATAATCCTGCATATGTATCCCAGAACTTAAGTTTAAAAAAAAATGCCAGCAAGGTGGCTCACACCTGTAATCCCAGCACTTTGAGAGGCCAAGGTGGGCTGATCACTTGAGGTCAAGAGTTCAAGACCAGCCTGGCCAATATGGAGAAACCCTGTCTCCACCAAAAAATACAAAAATTAGTCGGGCATGGTAGCTACTTGGGAGACTGAGACAGGAGAATGGCTTGAACCTGGGAGGTGGAGGGTGCAGTGAGCTGAGCTCATGCCAGTGCACTCCAGCCTGGAGAAAGAGCGAGACCCTGTCTCCAAAAAAAAAAAAAAAAAAAAAAAATTAAGTTAAATTAAACTAAAAAAAAAAAACCAGATCATGTGCTTGGATGTTATACCAATGTCAAATGTCTATAAAAATTTCCTAAACAAGGCCGGGCATGGTGGCTCACGCCTATAATCCTAGCACTTTGGGAGGACGAGGAGAGCGGATCACGAGGTCAGGAGATTGAGACCATCCTGGCTAACACGGTCAAACCCCGTCTCTATTAAAAATACAAAAAATTAGCCGGGCGAGGTGGTGGGCGCCTACAGTCCCAGCTACTTGGGAGGCTGAGGCAGGAGAATGGCGTGAACCTGGGAGGTGGAGCTTGCAGTGAGCCGAGATCGCACCATTGCACTCCAACCTGGGCGACAGAGCAAGACTCCATCTCAAAAGAAAAAAAAAATTCCTAAACAATTACTCCCAATTTGACTCTGTCTCAATTTAAAAAAATAAAAATCCTAAACAATTACTCCCAATCTCCTCTCCCCTCCCCTCCCCTTTTCTTTCTTGAGACAAAGTGCTCATGCTGGAGTGCAGTGGAGCGATCATGGCATACTGCAGGTTCGATCTCCCAGGCTCAGGAGATCCTCCTACCTCAGCCTCCTCAGTAGCTGGGACTACAGGCACATGCCACCATGCCTAGCTAATTTTTTTTTTTTTTCTGTAGAGATGGGATTTTTCTGTGTTGCCCAGGCTGCTTTCAAGCTTCTGGGCTCAAGGAATCTGCCTCAACCTCCTGAAGTGCTGTACTGCAGGCATGAGCCACTGAACCTGGTTCAAATTTCTATACTTACCTTGTTGCAGACCTGTAACAAACTTGAGAGACCAGGGCTGGCCCGCAGATCACACTGTGTATTGCACTGTGCCATGGCAGTGGTCCAGTGGTCAGACTGCCCATAGAAATACCCTAAAGGATAAAAAGGAAAAATTCTTAGGGCTTGCAGTGACATGCATGTAGGGAGATAGTGCACCAGTGGCTTCACAGCAATATTGCCAAGCCCGTAACCCAGACATTAGGAAGGGTGATGTGGTTTTCCAAGTAGCAAATGTATTGTGCTGATAGAACAATCTGTTTCTGAGCGATGACACATGATATAGTTTGGATATCTGTCCCCTTCAAATCCCATGTTGAAATTTGATCCCCAGTGTTGTAGGTGGGGCCTGGCAGCAGGTGTTTGTATTGTATTTGTATTGTGGGATTGGATCCATAATGAATGGTTTGGTGCCATTCTAGAGAGAGTGAGTGAGTTCTCACTCTTAGTTCGCAGGAGAACTGCTTATTGAAAGAGCCTGGGCCAGGTGTGGTGGCTCACGCCTGTAATCCAAGCACTTTGGGAGGCCAAGGCAGGTGGATCACTTGAGATCACGAGTTCGAGACCAGCCTGGCCTACATGGTGACGCCCCATCTCTACTAAAAAAAATACAAAAATTAGCTGGGCATGGTGGAGGGAGCCTGTAGTCCCAACTACTCAGGAGGCTGAGTCAGGAGAATAGCTTGAACCTGGGAAGAGGAGATTGCAGTGAGCCAAGATCATGCCATTGCACTTCAGCATGGGCGACAGAGTGAGACTCTGTCTCAAAAATAATAAAAATAAATAAATATTTTTTAAAAAGGAGTCTGACAGCTCCTCTTTCTATTGTTTCCTTCCTCTTGCCATGTGATGCCTGCTTTCCTTTCCCTTCCACCGTGAGTGGAAGCTTCCTGAGGCCCTCACCAGAAACAGTTGCTGGTGCCACGCTTCTTGTGCAGCCTGCAGAACCATGAGCCAAATGGACTTCTTTTCCTTATAAATTACCCAGGCTCAGGCATTCCTTTATGGTAACACAAATGGAATAAGACAACGCGGCTGGGAATGTAAGATAAGAGCAGTGGGTCCACTACTCTGGGATCCTCTCACTTGGGAGTGATCTCATTCTGCACTGGCTGCCAAGACACCGAACTTGGATGCCATCTGTGGCAACACTGGGGAGCTCCATCATTCACTCCACCTGTGGCTCCCCCAGGACTCTGGTAGGCTTCTACTAACTGCTGTGCCCCTTCTGAAGGATGCCTCCAACCTCCATTCCTGCCCTCTCATCCACCTACTTCCTATACACCCCTCAAGACCCACGTCCAGCAGTACTGTCTCAAGTGTTTCATCTCCTGGGCTCCTTGGGCCTTGTAAATCCCTCTATCACAGTGTTAACTGTGTTCAGTTACAATTGTCCATTTACAAGCATGTTCTGCAGGGGCTTATAGCTGGGAGAGATTCTGCCACAAATTCTGTGCTCCACCAAGCCTCACACAGATCCAGGAACAACTTGAGTGGGCAGTGGATGTTTAGTGACAGAAAGGGAAGAGAGACAAAGAAAAGAGAAAGGAGAGCATATGGAGGAAAAAGGCAGAAGAGAGGGGGGAAAGAGAAAGATAAGGTAGAAGAAGAAAGAGTGAATGAGAGACAGAGAAAGAAGGAGGAGGAAGGAAGAAAGCAAGGATGAAGGAGGGAGGAGAGAAAAAAGAGGAATGATAAATCATAATTACAGGGAAGCTAAAATCTTTATACTCTACATCTGGATATTCTTGTGATTCCCCCACCATTATTCCCATTAGTCATCTTGAACTGGGGGTAGTCGGGGAGGGGATGCATCAGGGATAGAATGTTCAGGACACAGAGCCAGAGCTTCCATGTGCAGCTCTTCTGCTCTGGTGCTGGGTGGATTCTGTTGGTTTGCTGGTGACCTCCACATCACCCCCGGCACACAATTTCTCTCCCCTCTGAACCACTCATCTTCCTCTCTGGCCTGTGGAAAAACACCTTCTATTCCCTATAAGCCTCTCTACAAAGGGATTTCCTATCAGAGTTCTTTCCCCTGTGCTCTCTGTCCCAGAACACCCAGGCCCTGGAGGGGAGAGGTGGTGCTGAATCCAGGAGCATCAGGAACAGTGTCACGCCAGACCTGGAGCCTCTGGGCCTGCCTCGCCTTCCCACTGGGCTCTACTGCTCACACTGGTCCCCCAGTAGATTCCCCCTGGTGAATTTCCTGAAAGGCCCCATGATCTCTCCCTCTAGTCCATCCCTCCTTAGGCTTCCAGGCAGTTGATCCCACAGATGTGGGATGTGGTGATTTGTGAGATTTTGGTTTTGGTGCACCCACCACCCAAGTAGTATACATTGAACCCAATCTGTAGACTCTTATCCCTCAACCCCCTTCGCACCCTTTCCCCCTGAGTCCCCAGAGTCTATTGTGTCATTCTTATGCCTTTACAGCCTCATAGCTTAGCTCCCAGTTATGAGTGAGAACATACGACGTTTGGTTTTCCCTTCCTGAGTTACTTCACTTAGAATAATAGTCTCCAGTTCCATCCAGGATGCTGCAAATGCCATTAATTTATTCCTTTTTATGGCTGAGTAGTATTCCATAATATATATATGTGTGTATATATATATATATATATATACCAGTTTATTTATTGATGGGCATTTGGGTTGGTTCCACATTTTTGCAATTGTGAATTGTGCTGCTATAAACATGTGTGTGCAAGTATCTTTTTCGTAGAATGACCTCTTTTCCTCTAGGTAGATACCCAGTAGTGGGATTTCTGGATCAAATGGTAGTTCTACTTTTAGTTCTTTAAGGAATCTCCACACTGTCTTCCATACTGGCTGTACTAGTTTACATCCCCACCAGCAGTGTAGAAATGTTCCCTGTTCACTCCATCCACACCAACACCTATTATTTTTTGATTTTTTGATGGTGGCCATCCTTGCAGGAGTAAGGTGGTATTGCATTGTGGTTTTGATTTGCATTTCCCTGATCATTAGTGATGTTGAGCATTTTAAAGAAAGCATGCATGAAAGGGGAAACATTTACATGACCCTAGTGATGACCATTAGGTTTTATCGTGGTCAGCAGCTATGGGGTGTGTTGGGTTTTGAATTAGTGGGATGAGGAATGAGTGAATTATATCAGAGGCAACTACATGGGGACGGGAAGTTTTAACTAGGCCAAAGGTGAAAGGGTATGGCTGGGCTTCAGACAACTTATGCCAGACCCAAAAATAGATGCAGAGACAGCAACTATACACATTTATGGCATCTGGTGTTGGTATTTTCACAAATTGTGTTCAATTTATGAAAATTCACTGAGAGGTAAACATTTAGCTTATGCACTTTTCTGTCTTTTTTTTATGCTTCAGTAAAACATTTACAAAGCAGCTTCCTCTCCCACAATAGCTCCCCAAACCCCTGTTCCTCTTTTATATAAGCAGGCATAGTTACCAATTTCTTACTGATAACCAGATGGCCATTCTTTTTTCATGGCGATATAATATTTAATTATAGAAGTGTGCCATAATTTATTTTATTTTTTTGAGACAGAGTGTCACTCTGTCGCCAAGGCTGGAGTGCAGTGGCATGATCTCAGCTCACTGCAACCTCCGCCTCCCGGGTTCAAGTGATTCTCCTGCCTCAGGCTCCCGAGTAGCTGGGATTACAGGTGTGTGCTATCATGCCTGGCTAATTTTTGTATTTTTAGTAGAAACGGGGCTTTACCATGTTGGCCAGGCTGGTCTCGAACTCCTGACTTCAGGTGATCCATCTACCTTGGCCTCCCAAAGTGTGGGGATTACAGGCGTGAGCCACTGCACCTGGTCCATAATTTCTTTCTTTTAATTTTTATTTATTTATTTATTGAGACAGGTCTCACTGTCACCCAGGCTAGAGTACAGTGGCACAATCACAGCTCACTGCAGCCTTGACCTCCTGGGCTCAAGCAATCCTCCCACTTCAGCCTCCTAAGTAGCTGGGACTACAGGAATGTGCCACCACGCCTGGCTAAGTAGTTGGGACTACAGGTGCGAGCCACAACACCCGGCTAATTTTTGTATTTTTTTGTAGAGACAGGATTTCACCATGTTGCCCAGTCTGGTCGTGAACTCCTGAGCTCAAGCAGCTCTCCTGCTTCAGCCTTCCAAAGTGCTGGGATTACAGGTGTGAGCCACCACACCCGGCCTATTTTTAAAATATCTTATTAGTGGAATAGATATAAATCAAAGTTATTAAAGTAGCTGCATCTGGAAAGGGATGGAGGGAATAAGGATTTAATTTTATTTGTAATAATTTTGTTCTTTAAAACATACCTGATAGTTTAGGACTTCTGCTTCTGAGAAGATGATATAGACATACTTTTCTCCATTCCTCTGGCTAGGTACAACCAAAATCCTAACTAAAAGAGGAGTCTCAAATCAATAATCTAAACTACTTCTGGCCGGGTGCAGTGGCTCATGCCTATAATCTCAGCACTTTGGGAGGCTGAAGAGGGCAGATCACCTGAGGTCAGGGGTTCGAGACCAGCCTGGGCAACATGGTGAAACCCCATCTCTACTAAAAATACAAAAATTAGCAGAGCATGGTGACACATGCCTGTAATCCCAGCTACTTGGGAGGGTGAGGCAGGAGAATCGCTTGAACCTGGGAGGTGGAGGCTGCGATGAGCCGAGATGTTGCTACTGTACTCCATCCTGGGTGACAGAGTGAGACCTTGTCTCAAAAATCAAAACAAAACAAAACAACAAAAAAACCCCACAAACTTCTACTTCAAGTCACTAGAATAAGAAGAACAAACTAAATCCAAAGCAAGCAGAAGAGGAAAAAATAACAAGCAGAAACCAATGAAATTAAAAACAGAAAAGCAACAGAGAAAATCAATGACACAAAAAGCTGATTCTTTGAAAAGACTGATAAAATTGACAAACCTCTTACAAGACTGATACAGAAAAAAGAAGACATAAATCACCAGTATCAGTAATGAAACGGGTGACATCAGTACAGACCCTGCCCACATCAGAAGGATCATAAGAGAATAATTCCACGGACAACTTTACATACATATGTGGGGGTGTGTGCTGCAGACCTCAACTCAACGACAGATGAATAATGTACACTGACACAGATATTCTGCTTGTCAGTCAGGCCGATTGTCCAGGCCCCCTACAGACTCCCAGGAGAGTGCTGTACATTTGCAACGTGGCCCCGACTCCCCGCCTCCTACTCGCTGGCCTTCTCGTCATTTACTTAGCACACATTAAACACAGCAAAAGTCTCAAGTAAACACCATTAGAGGGTAATCAACCTGGTCGCCTTCCCCTGCCTCCCCCAGAGCGCCATCCTGCCCGCGAATGATTAAAGGTTACTTTTAGAACCACATGAGTAAACAAGCTATTTAGATAGACTCCTCTACATTCCTATGTTACTTACCCTTGCTATGGCTCAAAGAGGATTAGGCCGCTTTCAGCCAAACTATCTGAAGCTAAGCAAAAACCTTTTGGCCTTCCAAGTTTTGTGTTTTATTGTATAATTTTCCCCACCATCCTGACTGAACCTCTACATACATAAATGTAACAATTTAGGCAAAATAGATCAATTACTCAAAAAGCACACACTATCACAACTTACTAGTATGAAATAGATACTTTGAATAGCCCTATAGCTATTAAGGAAATTTAATTCATAATTAAAACACTCCCCAAAAGGAAATTTCAAGGCCCAGATGATTACACTGGAGCATTCTACCACACTTTTGTTTTTTTTTTTGAGATGGAGTTTCACTCTTGTTGCCCAGGCTAGAATGCAAAGGTGCCTTCTCAGCTCACCAAACCTCTGCTTCCCAGGTTCAAGTAATTCTCCTGCCTCAGCCTCCCGAGGAGCTGGGATTACAGGCATGTGCCACCACACAGGCTAATTTTGTATTTTTAGTAGAAACAGGGTTTCTCCATGTTGGTGAGGCAGGTCTCGATCTCCTGACCTTGTGATCCTCCCGCCTCGGTCTCCCAAAGTGCTGGGATTACAAGCGTGAGCCACCGTGCCCGGCCAAAGTTGACTGTTTTTAACTGTACACTTCAGTGGGATTAAGTACATTATATTGCCATAGAACTCTCACCACCATCCATCTACAGAACTCTTTTTATCTTGGAAAACTGAAACTCTATACCTATTAAACAATAACTTCACTCTCCCTGTCCTCCAGTCCCTGGCAACCACCATTCTGCTTTCTGTCTCTGTGATTTTGACGACTCTAGTACCTCATATACATGGAATTACCCAGTATTTATCATTTTATGTCTGGCTTAGTCCACTTAGCGTAATGTTTCTTCAAGATTCATCTATGTTGTAGCATGTGTCAGAATTCCCATCCTTTCTAAGGCTGAAAGGATTTCCATTGTGTGGATGTACCATATTTTGCTTATCTATTCATCTACTGATGAAGAACTGGGTTGCTTCCATTTTTTTTTTTGCTTGTGAATAATGCTGCTGTGAACATATGTGTACAAATATCTCTTTGAGACCCTACTTTTAATTATTTTGAGGATATCTCTAGATATGGACTTGCTGAATCATATGGTAATTCTATTTTTATTTATTTATTTTGAGACAGTGTCTTGCTTTGTCACCCAGGCTGGAGTGCAGTGGCATGATCACAGCTCACTGTAGCCTTGACCTCCCAGGCTCAAGCAATCCTCTTGCCTCAGCCTCCTGAGTAGCTGGGACTACAGGCGCATGCCACCAGATCCAGTTAATTTTTGTATTTTTTGTAGAGATGGGGTTTCGTCATGTTGCCCCGACTGGTCTCGAACTCCTGGGCTCAAGCAATCCTCCTGCTTCTGCCTCCCAAAGCGCTGGAATTATAGGCGTAAGCCACCATGCCCAGCCTATTTTCACTTTTTTGAGGAATCATTATACGGTTTTCCACAGTGTCTGTACCATTTTACATTCCCACCAACAGTGCACAAGGGTTCAATTTCCCCACATCCTTGCCAATGCTTGTAGTTTCTTTCTTTTCCTTTTTTTTTTTCTAGTGGCCATCTTAATGGGTATATGACGTAGTATCTCATTGTTCTTTATCTCATTGTGATTTGTGTTTCTCTAATGATTAGTGATGTTGAGTATCTTTTCATGTGCTCACTGGCCACTTGTTGATCACTGGAGAAATGTCTATTCAAGCCCTTTGTTGTGGTTTTTGAATGAGATTGTTCTTATTTTGTTGCTGAGTTTTAGGAGTCTCTGCATATTCTGGATATTAATCCTTTGTCAGATATATGATTTGCAAATATTTTCTTCCATTCTGTGGGTTGCCTCTTTACTCTGCTACAGAGTCTTTTGATGCACAAAATGTTTTAATTTTCATAAAGTCCAATTTGTCTATTTTTTCTTTTGTTGCCTGTGCCTTTAGTGTCATATCCAGGAAGTCTGTTGCCAAATCCGATGTGGTAAACCCTTTGCCATATGTTTTCTATGAGTTTTATGCTTTGGGATTTTAAAAGTTGTGGGTCTTTTTGGGTGAATTTTTATCTATGGTGTTAGAGAAGGAACCACCTTCACTTTTTTGCATGTGGATATCCAGTTTTCCCAGCACCATTTGTTAGAAAGACTGTCCCTCCTCCCCGCATTGAATGGGCTTGGTCTCCTTGTTAAAAATTATTTGACCATATATGGGAGGGCATATCTTGGGGCTCTCTATTGTATTCCATTGGTCTATATGTCTGTCTATATGCCAGTACCACACTGTCTTGATGACTGAAGCTTGGAAGTAAGTTTTGAAATCAGGAAGTGTGAGTTCTTCAGCTTTATTCTTATTTTTCAGGATTGTTTTGGCTAATCGAAATCCCTTGAGAGTATATGAATTGTAGAATGAGTTTCTCTGTTTCTACAAAAAATGTCATTGGGATTTTGACAGGAATTGCATTAAATCTGTAGATTGCTTTGGATAGTATTGACATCTTAACTATATTAAGTAAGGATGATTTTTTTTAAATTACTGATTCAATCTCCTCACTAGTTATAGGTTTATTCAGATTATATTATCTATTCTGAGTCAGTTTTGCATTTCTATGAATTTGTCCATTTCATCTACGTTATCCAATTTGTTGGCTTATATTTGCTCATAGTACTCTCTTATGATCCTTTCTATTTCTGTAGAATTGCTAGTAACGAGCCATTGCAGTTGGGATCTGGCAGCAGAGGCTGTGTGTGTGTTTGTGTGTGTGTGTGATCGGAGAAATGCTTGAGAGGGTAACACCCGATTTAGGAGTGGACAGGGTATGAGGACAAAGAAGTGGTAATGGGAGACCTTGCCTTTTATTTCTTTTAATCTTTTTTGATAATACATTTGTGCATTATTTGGTCGTTCTCTTTAAATTCATTTTTAAAGGTAGAAGCAAATCAAGACTGGTAGATGCTGTGCCAAGGAAAGTCAGGGATCCTAGGTTCGAATCCTGTCTCTGTTCGCAATTCGCTCCGCAACCTCAAACAAACGACCTCAGTTTCATCTATGAAAAGCTGGTAACCATCGTCAGTTGCCAGGCCATGAAGAGAGTCAACGGAAATAAGTTTTTATTCTAGGGCACCCGCTCTCTCTCAGGTAAAAGCCGCGCCCCAATCAGGTACTGCCGCGCCAGGGCCGCGGGACATCTCGGGATTTGTGGTCCACCCGGCGGAACTCGCGGTCCCGGCAGGCACCGCGGCGGCGGCAGGGCGACGTGGCGCGGCCGGCTGCGGCTGCGCAGGCAGGTGGAGCAAGATGGCTGTGGAGCTGGGCGTGCTGCTCGTCCGGCCCCGGCCCGGAACCGGGCTGGGTAGAGTGATGCGGACCCTCCTGCTGGTGCTGTGGCTGGCGACGCGCGGAAGCGCGCTCTACTTTCACATCGGAGAGACGGAGAAGAAGTGCTTTATTGAGGAGATCCCGGACGAGACCATGGTCATAGGTGCGGGGGCGGGGAGGAAGGGGCGAGTTTGGAACGTGACCGTGGTCTTGGGGCGGGGGATGCGAGACAGTCAGCTCTCTAGAGCCGGGAGGAGACGGCCTCGCCGTGCCCAGGCGGTCGCGGAACCCATGCCACCTCGCGCTCCTCTGACCTGGGCTCGCCCTGCTTCCCTCAAGGAAACTACCGGACGCAGCTGTATGACAAGCAGCGGGAGGAGTACCAGCCGGCCACCCCGGGGCTTGGCATGTTTGTGGAGGTGAAGGACCCAGAGGACAAGGTGAGCCAACCGCCCCCCTCCTCTCCGCCAGCCTCTCAGCTAGGCGGGCTCCGGTACTTCCTCTTCTAGTTCCTGCATCTGCTAAAGTGGGAGAGACAGTTGATGTTGTGGGAATATCCTGCTGACTTGCAGACCCCGCCCGGTCTGTGAAATGGGCGGATTAATTGTGGTGATAAAAATCAAAGAGTTTTGTCAACTCTTAAAGTCATCTAGACTTTAAGATTTCACAGAACATGATACTTTCCCCACAAAATGAGCAGCTTTTAATCTTCCCAAGTAAGGATATTAAAACGAACGGCAAAACCCTTCAGCTCTCACCTTCTGTCACTTTTCGTTAAAAAACTCATGGCGGGGTGTGGTGGCTCTTGCCTGTAATCCCAGCACTTTGGGATGCCGAGGCGGGTGGATCACTTGAGGCCGGGAGTTCAGGACCGGCCTGGGCAACCTCCGTCTGGCAAACCCCGTCTCTAGTAAAAATACAAAAAAAAAAAAAAAAAAAAATGAGCCGGGTGTGGTGGCGCACACCTCTAATACCAGATACTTGGGAGGCTAAGGCACGATAATTGCTTGAACCTGGGAAGCTGAGGCTGCAGTGAGCTGAGATAGCATCACTGCACTCCAGCCAGGACGACAGAGTGAGACTCTGTCTCAAAAACAAAAACAAAAAAGAACCCCCCAAAAAACAACTCACACCAAAAAAGTTGAAAGGGCATAAGCTATAAAGGAAAGCCCTTCCCAAGAGCAGTCAGTCACTTGCCACCCTAATGTCAGACTCTCAGAGTCTAAACACCTGCCCCAGAGAGTTCTCACACAAGCATATGGCAACAGCTGCTGAGCAGCTTTGAATCTTTCAGTGTTGTGAGGTGCGAAAGGCTGTGCCTGTCAACTTTTGCAGTACTTAGAGCCTTAAGCACTGTTTTCCTCCATTCCCATCCCTACCATAATACTGACTGAAGCTTGTTACCTTCCTCCAGGTCATCCTGGCCCGGCAGTATGGCTCCGAGGGCAGGTTCACTTTCACTTCCCATACCCCTGGTGAGCACCAGATCTGTCTTCACTCCAATTCCACCAAGTTCTCCCTCTTTGCTGGAGGCATGCTGGTAAGTGGGCCCATGTGAGACTTGCAGGTTTCAGCCTTCATCCTTTGGTGAGGACTGGGGGACTGGTGGTGCTGTGGGTGTGAGAGGATTATGTCAGATTTTGTGTCTCCTAAGAACACTGGGTTTCCACTGGATGTCCAGGACACAGTGACTGAGCTCTTTGTACATGCCTCACTCAGAGCACCAGCCCAGGCTTAATACTTGCTTGTGTGCCCAGAGCCTCATGGGGCTAAGACACTGAAGAGGGCCCAGTCTGTTGGCTAAATGAACAGATGAAGGAAAGTCGGGGATGAGCTGTCAGTCTCTGGCAGGAAGATGGAGCAGGGCTACCAGATTTCCCTTATCTCCTTTGTCTGTCCTCAGAGAGTTCACCTGGACATCCAGGTAGGTGAACATGCCAATGACTATGCAGAAATTGCTGCTAAAGACAAGTTGAGTGAGTTGCAGCTACGAGTGCGACAGCTGGTGGAACAAGTGGAGCAGATCCAGAAAGAGCAGAACTACCAGCGGGTGAGTGACTGGGCCGGGAGCAGTGGGCTTCTCCCTAGAAGCTGCCCACTGGCTCAGCCAGGAATTTCACATTAAATTCATTCTGAGACCCCCAAGGGACTTACCTGCACTGCATTGTAGGTCGTGGGGCGGGTATTACTAACTCGACCTTGTAATTGAGGATACAGACTCGTAAGAGGCTGTCATTGCCCTAAATCACAGTTACACACAGAATGGCACAGTAGCATTTGATACCAACACCTTGGGTGCTGTTTCAGTGGGTCCACATGCTCCCAGGACCAGGGTCTCAAACTTACCGGTGACCAGGAACCAGAGATTACCATAAGTGAATCTGTGACCTTAAGGACTAGTAGGGCAGTGACCCATCTAAACAAGCACAGCCACTGTTCAGTGTCACCTGGGGGCTTCCTTGCAGAAATACCAGCCCTGGCTTTACAGATGTTCCATTTTTTCAAGAGGAAATAGGATTTTTATGCGAACATTTTAATTTATTTTTTATTTTTTTCTATTGCTGCTGCACAAATTACCTGTGTTTTAAATGTTGACAAAAGACTGTGCACTGTGTGAGGCCAACAAAACATACCTAAAGGCCAGATCCAGCCCCCAGCCTGCCAGTTTACAGCCTGTGCCCACCATCTTCAAGGAGCAGTGTGGGAGACCTAGGCAGAGGGCTTAGAGCAAGTCCACTCCTGTGTGCTCCAGGACAGCTCTGCCTCGTGGGGTGATACCACAACTACCTTACCTCTCTCCCAGGCACCAGGGCAGGACTAGGTGAGGGCTATGCCTGACAGATGAAGAAACAGACTTGGGAGAATGAGTAGGTTGCCTGAGGGTAAAGATAGTCCCCAGGTAGAGTGACACTTTGCAGGCACTTGGCTGGAACCTGGGCAAAGCTGGCTGACCTTGGGCATCCTCTTGGTCTGGGAATCAGCAGTTCTAGCAGCCCCAGCCAACTCAGGCTCACCTTATATTCCCCTGCAGTGGCGAGAGGAGCGCTTCCGGCAGACCAGTGAGAGCACCAACCAGCGGGTGCTGTGGTGGTCCATTCTGCAGACCCTCATCCTCGTGGCCATCGGTGTCTGGCAGATGCGGCACCTCAAGAGCTTCTTTGAAGCCAAGAAGCTTGTGTAGCTGTCCCAGGCGTCACAACCCATCCTCCCAGGCTGGGGGAGAAAGGACCTCCTGGAACTGACTTCTTCTGTCAGGAGGACTGGTTTCCAGCCATACCTGTTCTGGAAGGGAGAGGGGCTGGAGGCACCCACAGGCACAAGCTGAAGGCAGCAGCTTGGCTAATACTGAGCAGGTAGTGGGGCAAATTCCTGCCCTCTCTCTCTGGCCTCTGGGCCGTTTGGTAGTAATCACCCAAGGGCTGGTAAAGCCCCTCCTCTTGGCACCTCAGAATCACAGTGTTACTGATCAGGGATGTGAGGCTGCTGTTGGGGGTGGGGGGAGGGGAATGGGCAGGCAAGCCAGTCTTCTGTCTTCCTTTGCTAACTTAGGGTTTTGAGCAGGTTGGGGTATGGTGCCTGTCATACCCACCTGCCACCCTGGGAACCTCACTGTTCTCTCTTTCAGCCTAGACCTGCTGATCCAGGGTGTGTGTGAGTTGAGGGTGGGTGGAGGGGTTTGCAGTGTGGGAATGTGGCCCTGCAGTTGACCTGAGCTGCTTCACATGGTTGTCCATTCTGGGGCTTAAAGAACTGGGACCAGACCAAGTAGAGGCCTTGGTGCTGGTTGGGGTGGGGCCTGCAGAGTCTTAGTTACTGATTTCATTTTCAATAAATGTAGGTTTGTTACATGAGTTTCCCAATAAAAAAAAAAATGACTTCTTGTCCAGTGCAAGTGACTCAGTCATCAGTGGGCACACACTGCAGGGTGCCTCAGGGAATGCCAGTTCTTCCAAAGAGCAAAGCACTTCACATTCCAAAGTGAATTCCCACCAGTCAGCTTCATTCTTTCCTTCTTCTCCAGGCCTTCCTGTGGCAGGGAATAGTGGGTTTGTCCAAGATTATACAACAAGTAAATTGGGCTGGGGCTCAAATTTACACCCTTTCCTCTGTGCCAGCTCCCTGGTGAAGTTCCCTCTTTCTAGAGTCAGTAAGCAGGATTGTCATGGATGCTGCCAGGAAGTGCCTGGTAAGGAGGTGCATTGAGCAGGGGAGTGCTACAGGACAGCCACCCTGGGCTGGCAGGGACAAGGATGTTGATGGGCTAAACCAACAGCAAGTGATTTCAACCAGGACCATGAAGGAGAGGAAGGATTCTGCTGGAAGGAGATGGCAGGACAGGGGTGGTTGGAGAAGTGGAGGCAAACAGCTGGAATGGAGGTGGGTGGGTGTTTAATTTCAGCTGCAGAGGGTGTTGTGAGGAAGCTGGAAAGGAAGGTTGGATTAGAGAAGCCTCGAGCTCCAGGTAAGCGATTTGGACATGCCCACCTTTCAAGAGGGGCTGCAGGCACCCACAGGCACAAGCTGAAGGCAGCAGCTTGGCTGGCTTAATACTGAGCAGGTGGTGGGGTAAATGCCTGCCCCCCTCCCTCTGGCCTCTGGGCCCTTTGCAGTAATCACCCAGGGTCTGGTAAAGCCACTGAGAGCCCTACTGGCACCTCAGAATCACAGTGTTATTGATCAGGGATGTGAGGCTGCTGTTGGGGGTTGGGGGAGGCAAATGGGCAGGCAGTTTTGAGAAGAACCTTCTAATAAGAAATGTGAGGGAGGTTACAGCAGTGTGTGAGAAAGACCAGGAAGAAGGAGACAAGTTTGGGGGCTGCTTCCCCTAATGGGATGATGCAATCTGGGCTCATGCTGCCAACTAATTCTTCCACATGAAAAAAAAAAGTTTTTTGGCGGGCACGGTGGTTCACACCTGTAATCCCAGCACTTTGGGAGGCTGAGGTAGGTGGATGGCCTGAGGCCAGGAGTTTGAGACCAGCCTGGCCAACATGGTGAAACCTCATCTCTACTAAAAATACAAAAAATGAGCCAGGTGTGGTGGCGCATGCCTGAAATCCCAGCTACTTGGGAGGCTGAGGCGGCAGAATTGCTTGAACCCAGGAGACAGAGGTTGCAGTGAGCCAAGATCACACCACTACACTCCAACCTGGGCTACAGTGAGACTCTGTCTCAAAAAAAAAAAAAAAAAAAGGCCGGGAGCGGTGGCTCACACCTGTAACCCCAACACTTTGGGAGGCCAAGGCGAGCAGATCACGAGGTCAGGAGATCGAGACCAACCTGGCTAACATGATGAAACCCCATCTCTACAAAAAAAAAAAAAAAAAAAAATACAAAAAATTAGCCAGGCGTGGTGGTGGGCGCCTGTAGTCCCAGCTCCTTGGGAGGCTGAGGCAGGAGAATGGCGTGAACCCAGGAGGCGGAGCTTGCAGTGAGCCGAGATCACTTCACTGCACTCCAGCCTGAGCAACGGAGCAAGTCTCCATGTCAAAAAAAAAAAAAAAAGTATTTTTAAAGAACAGCTTTAAAAGTGCAGAAAAATTGTGAAGACATTTTCCCTATTAGTAACATCATGCATTACTTTATCCAGACTTCCTTAGTTTTTACCTACTGTCCTTTTTCTGTTCCAGGATTCCACATCACATTTAGTCACTGTGTCTCCTTAGGCTCCTTTTGGCTGTGACAGTTTCTTAGACCTTCCTTGTTTTTGATGATTCCTTGACTGTTTTGAGGAGTACAGGTCAGGTATTTTGTACGATTTCTCAGCTAGGATTTGTCTGATGTTTTTCTCATGATTAGACTAGAGTTGTGGGTTTTTGAAAAGAGACCACAGGCTGGGCATGGTGGCTCACGCCTGTAATCGCAGCACTTTGGGAGGCAGAGGCAGGCGGATCACCTGAGGTCAGGAGTTCGAGACCAGCCGCCAACATGGTAAAACCCCGTCTCTACTAAAAATACAAAAATTAGCCAGGCGTGGTGGCAGGCGCCTGTAATCCCAGCTACTCGGAAGGCTGAGACAGGAGAATTGCTTGACCCCGGGAGGCAGAGGTTGCAGTGAGCCGAGATCGTGCCACTGCACTCCAGCCTGACTGACAGAGTGAGACTCTGTCTCAAAAAATAAATAAATAAATAAAATAAAATAAAATAAAAAAGTAGAAAAGAGATCAGAGTTGAAGTGTCATTATCAACATGGCTCTTAGCTGGATATCACATTTAAAAATTAGATAATTTGGGTTTTCATTTGAGATCTGATTTCTTGAGAGTGTGAATCTGACAATCTGAAGTAGAGCTTCATCCTGATATAGTAACAGCTAACCGGATGGAGTGGTCCCCTTTAGATGGGCTGTGCATTGACCACGGTTCTGGGGTAGGATGCAGTGCCCTGGGGGAGTCAACAGGAAGGGGAATGGGTGGATTATATACTTCCAGGTTTACGGGGTAAAGGGGTTACTGGGAATGATTCATTTCCCACCCACGGTGAAGTTCTCTCTGGAGCAGAGTGATTAAGATCATAGATTGTGGGGAAGAACAAAACAAAAACCCCAAACCCATAGATTTGCAACCAAACTACCTGATTTGCCTCTCTGTGCCTCAGTTCTCTCAATTTTAACTTGGGGATAAGCACCTACCGATAAGGACTACGTGAGATAACCCTCATGTAGTAAGAACTATTAACAATGACTGGCACATAATAAGAACTTAATAGATGTTTGCTATCTATTAGGAAACTTAAAAGTTTGCCTGGAAGAGCAGAGGAGGTCAAGTCTAACAATTGCCGCTTTCTTTCCCCAGGTAGGAGGCTAGTAGGAGGGGTGGGGGGGCTGGGGGTGAGGGGGATGGTTAAGTTCCCACGGTGACGGGGCAGATATGGGAACTCAGTCTCCTATTCCCTTCTTCAGTTCTCAGCTCCACCAAAGTACCCTTTTCCTGGATGACAGCTGTCATTTATATGGCGTTGAACTGTGTGCCTAGCGCTGCACAAGTGTTTGCACTTTCTCCTTGAATCCCCACAGCTACCATATAGAATAGGAGCCATTGATATACCCAGGTGAGGAAACAGATGCAGAGATGTGGCTTGGTCAAAACACAGCTGAATTGGCAGAGTCTAGTTTCTTTTTCTTTTTCTTTTCTTTTTTTTTTGACGGAGTCTCGCCCTGTCACCCAGGCTGGAGTGCAGTGGTGCGATCTCGACTCACTGCAAGCTCCGCCTCCTGGGTTCACACCATGCTCCTGCCTCAGCCTCCCGAGTAGCTGGGACTAACAGGCGCCCGCCACCACGCCCGGCTAATTTTTTGTATTTTTAGTAGAGACGGGGTTTCACCGTGTTAGCCAGGATGGTCTCGCTCTCCTGACCTCGTGATCCGCCCGCCTCGGCCTCCCAAAGTGCTGGGATTACAGGCGTGAGCCACCGCGCCCGGCAAGCAGAGTCGGGTTTCAAATTCAGTCAACTTGTCTTCAGGGCTCGGCTCCTAACGCCTGCGCGGGCTGTCAGCTGAACTCAGCGCCGAGCCGTGAGCTTGGCTTTGCCCCTCCAAGCTTGCGCGGAGAACGCGCCGCCTGGGCCGAGACGGGGACCCCGGGACGCTCCCGCCTCCCCTCGGAAAGAGGACGGAGATGCAGATTCTCCCCGAGCGTTGGTTTGGGAGTCTGGACTCTTAGGTCCAGTCCCAGCCCAGTGATTTGTTGGGAGGCCCTGGGCCTCTGGGCTTCAGTTTCTCGGGCTTCCAGGCGGGTCCCGGGGCGGCTAGGAAGGAGCCGCCCAGAGAGGGAGGCGCGCCCGCGCTGCTCGCAAGCAGAACCTTGGAGGCGGCGGCTCCGGGAGCTGGCGGCGCGGCCGGAGCGGCGGACCCGGCGGACCGGGGGGCGGGGCGGACAGGCCTGGGCGGAGCGGGAGGCGGAGGCGCCGCGTAGGCCCGGGAGGCCGGGCCGGCCGGGCTGCGAGCGCCTGCCCCATGCGCCGCCGCCTCTCCGCACGATGTTCCCCTCGCGGAGGAAAGCGGCGCAGCTGCCCTGG
This sequence comes from Homo sapiens, assembly GCF_000001405.40. Lineage (NCBI taxonomy): Eukaryota > Metazoa > Chordata > Mammalia > Primates > Hominidae > Homo > Homo sapiens. The sequence continues at coordinate 177,600,250 of NC_000005.10, forward strand.
GAGGACGGCAGGTGAGCGGCGGCGGTGGGCCCGGGCCCCGTCCTCCCGGGCGCCGCTCCCTTCTCGGCCGCCGGCGGAATCTGGGAACCCGAGGCCATCACGTCTCCATGTCTGCGGGTTTCTGTGAGGGCGTGTGGTTCTCCCTGTGGGTCCCTGGCGCTCTGTTCCGGTTTCTGTCTGTCCCTGTGGGTCTCTGCCTCCCCCGCCCCCTCTCCCTTTCCGCGGCACTCGTCCTTCCCCCAGCACCTTCCCCCCGGCCCGTGGGTCCGTATTTCTCCATTGACTTCCCTTTGTGAGTTTCTGATCCCCTCTTTGCTAGTCTCTCTCGTTATGTGTTTCGTTGTGTCTGTGTTTCTCCACCAGCCTCCCTCTATCTGCATGCGGGTCTCTGACTCCGCTGACCTCTCACCATGGATTTGTGTTTCTCAATTTGTCTCTGATCCCTGAGGACGTGTATTCCGTTTCTCTGGTCTCTGCCTTCCTCATCACATCCATATAGCCTCAGACCCTACCCTTCCTCCTTAACACTTCCCCCCATCCTTCGCAGGCCACCAGCAGAACCCACCAGACAGAAGCTCCGTGCTCTGCCTGGCTGGTCACTGCCTGGCACGTACTAGACACTCCTTATACACGCATTAGTCCATTTCCTGTGCAGCTGTATTGGCCCTACGTGAAAGATGCGAGCTTGGCCCACACCTTAGCTAATTTTGTTTCTCACTAAAGCAGAATGGGGAAAGCGATTTGACTGCCTCCATTCGTGGGGCACTTGAGATGTGTCCCTGTAAGTCTTCTCACAGAACACATGACTGGATCTCCTCCTCGTGAATGACACCTCATTTCCTTCATGTTTCTTAAGTCCGTCAGGTGCCATAAGATTCTGGAATTTAGTGGCCACAACTTGTACTTTTGGGGATTTTTCAGACTTGGTGTTGAAAGGGGAAAACAGGAATATAATAGAAAGCGTGGACTAGCGTTCGACCTGGGCAGGAGTCCTCCGTAATTATGTGAGCAGAGACCCCTGCATCTGTCCGACCGCAGCCTTTCCGTCACTGAGCCAGTTATGACAGTATTGGCTCTGCAGGGCTGTGTGAGGATTAAAGGACCGCACACATGTAAAGAGCATGGCACTGCCTAGCACAACAGGAGGTGCCAGTTGTCTTCCCGTTACCTTTGCAGTTTTGAGGTCCTGTAACCAGAGCAGCTGAGGATTCAAACCTCGTAGTACGAAGGTCTGTATGAGACAAGAAAGGAAAGGTAACAGAGGAGCATTTCTATTTCCTGATCCTTTTCCATAGCTGTTTCCAGAGAAATTTACTGATGTCAATTCTGTGCTTTTGACACAGGGTTGGTGCAAAGATCCACGCAACTGATGCAGGCTAGTGTAGCTATCTAGTGTAGGCTCTGGAGCCAGCCTGCCTGGGTTTGAATCCGCCTTTTACTAGTCTTGGGCAGTGATTGATGAGGGAGACAAAGCCTCTTCTGGACTGCCCCTCAGAGCCAGGGTGGCCTGGGCCTGGGAGCCACTGGGACTGCAAATCTGGTTTGCCACCTGGTGGCACCAGGAACAATTGTTCTCGGTGTCCACTGTCCTGAGGAATTGGGACTCTGGGTTCAATCCAGTTGCTCTGCGGTTTGTGCTCTTAGAGCACAGGATGATGCCCATGGGGATGTGGTCCTCATAGGAGAGGGGAGCAGGGCCGAGGGAATTAGCGTGTGGACGTGCTCGGAGTACCCAGTCCACGCCGTTCCCCTGGATAATAGTCACTGCTTCTTTTCATGAAGGTGGGATATCACCCCATATCCATCTCTCCAGTCTCTACCCTGTCCCCAGAAAAAGCCCAGAGGGCAAGGGAGAATCTGTAGAGGTTCCAGCCTTCCCAGACCACTCTCAGGACTGGGCTGTGCTCCTCCCCAGCTGAATCCACCACCACAGGATAATGGGGGGTAAGTCAGAAGCCCTGGGGGGTTTCCTACCAGGCCACCTCTCAGCTGCGTGTGGAACCTGGGCCTGGCTGCAAGGCTACTGGCTTCCAGGTTGGCGGTCTCTCTAGAAAAAGGGAGGAGTTGGTCTGGCTTTAGCATGTGACTTAAGGCATGCCCTGACTGCCTTACCCCTTTCTGTAACTCACTTGGCAAGCTCTCTGCTGTCTGGCCTGTGCTTGCTGTGCTGGGGCCACAGATAAGAATCTGACACGGCCTGAGAAGCAAGGACACAAGGCATTACAAAAAAGTGGGAAGATGCCGTGGGAATACAAAAGTGGGAGCATTATGGGGGCAGGGGGCAGTGCTGGCCATGACATTGGAGTTCGGCTCTGAAGGATCAACAGGGGTCCTCAGGCAGATAAAGAAGGACATTTCAGGCAGAAGGAGCAGGCTGTGTGAGGGCTGGAGCAGGAAGGAATATAGCAAGTGGAGAAGCTCCGAGGTGCCCAACATGAGAACATGGGGCGAAGGCTTGGGAGCACCTGGAGTTGGGGCCAGGTCATGGAGGGCTTTGACTGTCAGGCCAAAGGGCTTGGCCTTTGTCTGGCAAACAGAGGAGGGTCATTCAGAAGACTGAAGGGGTCTGAGCAGGGCAAGGAACAGATGAGTGAGGAAGGATCAGAGGGGGACTTAGGAGATAGAATTTATTTATTTATTTATTTATTTATGAGATGGAGTCTCGCTCTGTTGCCCAGGCTGGAGTGCAGTGGCGTGATCTCAGCTCACTGCAACCTCCGCCTCCCAGATTCAAGCTATGCTTCTGCCTCAGCCTCCCAAGTAGCTGGGACTATAGGCGCGTACCACCACACCCAGCTAATTTTTGTATTTTTAGTAGAGATGGGGTGTTACCATATTTGCCAGGCTGGTCTTGAGCTCCTGACCTCGTGATGCACCTGCCTCGGCCTCCCAAAGTGCTGGGATTACAGGCGTGAGCCACCACGCCTGGCCAGGAGATAGAATTTATAAGACCTGATAGCTAATCGCTGACTCTTAAGATTGTGAAGTGGATTCCTTTGCAGATTACTTTGGGGAGAAGGTAGGGGGAGTACAGAGGAAGCTTCTCCCTTCATGGATTCCTCAGCTCCTGTCTCAGCATACTCAGGAACTTCCAGAGGAGCGGCAAAGGAATCTGGTGAATTCTGTTTCTTTGTATTTGCTAACCAAAAGGCTGTCTCCTGGCATCACCCCAGTGTCTGTGATGTTCAGCTGTTTTTCCAGTTTCTGAAATCAGTGCCTGTGCTGTACCCAGCCCTCATCTTTCTTTCCCTCTCCATCTCCCATCTTTTATCATGAGCTGCCTCTTGGACTAAAGGTTTGAGGCTCGTTCAGTGAACCGCCACTGACAGTTTGGGCCTTGCATTGCTTCGGGGGGCACGTCTGATCTTCCCAGAGTAAACATTGGTCATTTTACCTGGACTAATGCCAGCACACACCCGTGTCTGGGTGGCCTTTCTGGTCATTCTTGGAAGCAGGATGGAGCCACGGTTTCTGCTGGGGTGGATCTGTAGGGGAGCGGGTTTGGAAAGCAGTGGGTTGCATCTCTAAGGTGGGGACTCCTGTCATTGGCTCAGGACATTGAGCCACTATCGTGGGGAGGAGCACCTGCAAGTGACAGGAGCCTCCTCATCCTTGCCCTGAGCAGCTCTGACCAGGACTCAGTCACAGAAAGTAAGAGAGCATTGAGGAGCCGGGGCAGCTCTGTGAACTGGGAGTGGTTCAGAGGGCTTCCCGAGAGCGGGTGGCATGGGTTGGGTCTAGAGAGGCAAGCAGGATTCGGATGCATGGTAGTGGCATGAGCAGAAACATTAAAGTTGCTTCTGTACTAATTCCCAGGTGCTTGGGGTAGACGAGTTATGTGCAGCCTCCTCGTGGGGAGGCCAGAGAACGGGTCTGTCACAGGGCCAGCCCTGCCCCGCCCTCCTGACCCTGTCCCGCGCTTGCTCCAGGTCCGGGTTGCTCTCCGGCGGCCTCCCTCGGAAGTGTTCCGTCTTCCACCTGTTCGTGGCCTGCCTCTCGCTGGGCTTCTTCTCCCTACTCTGGCTGCAGCTCAGCTGCTCTGGGGACGTGGCCCGGGCAGTCAGGGGACAAGGGCAGGAGACCTCGGGCCCTCCCCGTGCCTGCCCCCCAGAGCCGCCCCCTGAGCACTGGGAAGAAGACGCATCCTGGGGCCCCCACCGCCTGGCAGTGCTGGTGCCCTTCCGCGAACGCTTCGAGGAGCTCCTGGTCTTCGTGCCCCACATGCGCCGCTTCCTGAGCAGGAAGAAGATCCGGCACCACATCTACGTGCTCAACCAGGTGGACCACTTCAGGTAGCGCCCGCCCCCACCCTCTCCCCTCGGCACCCCTGCCCGGGCTCAGGCTTCTCAGGCCCTGTGAGAGGCCACCTGGGGCAGGGGCAGGAGGGCGGGAGGTGGCAGACCCCTCTCACTGGGTGTGACAGGAACCTTTGGAGAGGGCCCTGATCTAATTTCCATTTTGAAAAGCTCACTGTGGCTGCCGTATGTGGAATGGATTATACCAGGGCAAGAGGAGAAGCAGGGAGAGCAGTTAGGTGGTCACTGCTGTGGTCTGCGGTGACAGTGGCTTGATGGCCTGGTGGGGGGTGGGTAGAGAGAGGTGCTGTGGAGGAAGCCCAGACAGGACTCCCTGGGGATTGGCCCGGGGATTAGGGAAAGGGAGGGTCAAGGCCACGGCTTTAAAGTTGCCCACAGTCTGGCGTTATCCTAAAATCCCTGCCCTTACCAAAAAGTGCTCCCTTCCATGACCACAGCCTGAGATCTCACCCACCAGCCCCCACCTCCTTTCCCTCTAGGTAACTCCCACTGGAAGATGGATTCTCAGCCCCACCAGCCTGATCTTCCCACCTTTTCAAGTCCCCTTGATCCAGATCCCCAGACCCCCCCCTTTTCCCTGCCACCCTTCTTGTCTTTACTTCCTCCTTACCCAACCTGGAGTCCAAGGTCCATCATTAAAACCCTCCCTGGCATACTCCCTCAAGCCTCTGGTCCCTTGCTGCTGGCGTAATCCCAGCCTGATTTACTCCAGCTCTCTGCTCCACACCTGTGCCTGGGCACTGGAGGGTATGGAGAGGAAAGACAACACGTGAGGCGGCCATGCTGCTGTCCCCATGCCGATGATGCCCCTGCCAGGAAGGCCCTCTGCCCTGCTGGGAGCCTCACTTTCCTCTGGTCTGTCCACTGCAGCCTTTAAAACTATCTGTTCTCCTCATTCATCCCTCGTCCTCACTCATAGCTGACGACTTTGCTTCCAATTTCAGAAAACAGAATGAAATGGAAGAGAACTTTCCCCAGTTCCCTCCACAACTCACCTGCCAGCCTCTGTGCACAGGGACTCAAGGCTGTTCCAGCTTCTGTCCGGGCTGACTCCCACCATCCCCATCCTTCAGTATTTCCCCCCACCCCACAGTTGGGCCCTTCCTCTCCCTCTCGATCAGCGTTCCTCTCCTGGAGCATACCCATGAGCACACACACCCTGAAGTGGCTCCTCTCTCAAAGGAAAAAGACTCCCTGGATCCCACATCCCTCGAGGCTGTCACCCTTCTCTGCTTTCTGGCAGACCTCCTTCCCTTTCTCTCCCCTCGTCTCTCTTGAACCCCTTCCGCTCAGACTCCTGCACCCACCATGGCACAGAGCAGCTCTCACTGAGGTCACCAGCCACCTCCTCCACTCTGTTGGTCCAGAGGCCATGCTGGGCCCTCATCCTGTGGACCTGCCAGCAGCATCTTCTTTCGTAAAATGCCCCTGCTTGGGGCAGCACCCTCTGGTCCTCCCTCTGCACTGGCTGGGCCTCTGTGTCTGTGGGTTCTGCTCATCTCCCCGAGCTCTCACCATCGGGGCTTCTCTGGACTCGGTGCTTCGGCAGCCCCCCTTTTTTAACTCCAGGTGTTCCTTGGGGCATCTCATGTCATCTCCAGCATTAAACCACGTCTCTGATGATTCCTGAGGCTGTTTCCTGGAGTTCTCTCCTAAACTCCAGGCTCAACAGCCCAGCCATCTACACAGTCCCTCCACGTGGTGGCCTCAGAGCTACTGCAAGCTTCCATGATCACAGCTGAATTGCTGGTGGCCTGCCCTGCCCCAAACCTGTAGCTCTGTCCTCTTCTCCATGGGAATGGAAGCTCTTTGCTCTCATTGCTCAAGCCCAAAAGCCCGGGGGTCATCCTCAGCTGCTCCTTCTCTGTCATACACTGCGTCCTATTCGTCAGCAAAATCCATCTAGAATCTGCCCGCTTCTCGCTGTTGCCACTGCCACCTCCTGAGCTAGGCCACCTTCATCTTTTGGTCTCTCACCTAAATCATTGCCATAGTCTCCCAGCTGGTCTCCCTGCTTTCACCCCTGCTCTGACAGTCTCTTCCAGCACAACAGCTAGGGCGGTCCTGTCCAGGCATAAGTCACAGCACGCCTCTACCCTGCTCAGAGCCTCCATGGCACCCATCTTACCCGAGTCAAAGCCCCGTCCTTCAGTGGCCCTTGGGCCTTGTGCAGTCACTGTGTCACCCCCAACATCCCCACCTCTGCCCTCGCCCTGCCCAGCTGCCCGTTGGTCTGCTCCTGCCTCCTGCCGTGGCAGTGCCATCTCTCCTATGCAGAGCCCTAGGCACCCACTGCCCTGTGGGTCATCTCTTCAGGCCTTCAGGTTTCTGTCACTCAGTTCCCCTGGCCCTCCCTGACGGCCCCACCGAGGACAAGAGCCACCTCCACCCCCAGCAAGATCGCCCTCCTTGCCTGCTTTGCTTTTCCCCCCAGCACGAACCACTGCTGGCCACGCTTTGTGTTTGCTTGTTTCTGTTTCCTTCTATTGGAATCTCAGTTCCTTGAGAACAGGGCCTGGTTTTTCACTGCTGTACCTCCCGTGCTTTGAATGGTTTCTGGCACATAGTGGGTGCTTAGTAAATATGCGATGAGTGGAGGGACTGCCCCACAGGCTGAGTGAAGTCAGTGCTGGGCCAGAGGGCAGCATAGGCACCATGGGGACCCCCGGGTGGGTGCTGAGCCCCAGGCAGTGAGCCCGTGTGCTGCCCCTGCCCAGCCTTGCCCACCCTGCACAGGTTCAACCGGGCAGCGCTCATCAACGTGGGCTTCCTGGAGAGCAGCAACAGCACGGACTACATTGCCATGCACGACGTTGACCTGCTCCCTCTCAACGAGGAGCTGGACTATGGCTTTCCTGAGGCTGGGCCCTTCCACGTGGCCTCCCCGGAGCTCCACCCTCTCTACCACTACAAGACCTATGTCGGCGGCATCCTGCTGCTCTCCAAGCAGCACTACCGGCTGGTGAGGCCCGGACAGCCTGCTCTGCTCAGAGCCGGGAGCTCCCTCCAGGCTGCGGGTGGTGGGAAGGATGGGGCAGTGCCTCTGGGGCCCAGCAGATGGAGCCCTGCCCTGGCCTAGCAGGAGAACTTGGGAGCAGCCAGAGTGCGAAGAGCAGGCGAGCCAGTCAGCCGCAGCAGCAGAACTGCTTGCACGGGGGCTTCAGAAACCTGGGTGGTTAGTGGCCCTTAACACTGAAGAGTGTAGGGGCGGTTCAGGTGTACCTTGCCCACCTCTCAGACAGTGTCACCAGGACCCTGTTTCTCTGTGCATCTCCCAGCTCTCCTTCCCTGCACTGGGTTTATTGGCAAGGTGGTGGTTGTTACTGCAGTCTGTATCCATCTAGGCCCCGGGCTGGTGGGAGATGGGGCCCTTCCCTTGTAGCTCAGGCAGGAGTCCCGCAGTGAGCTGCACTGGCTCTTGATTGGCCGGCTTGAGTGCTGAGCCCACCCCTCAGCCAGTCACTGGCTGGTGGACGGGCAGGCAGGAAGAAGCACTTGTGGCTCAGGCCTGGGTGTCCTCCTCTCCAGGCCATGGCAGGGGCCAGCTTTATGTAAATGAAGCCCCTGAGCCAGGTGCAAGAATGGGTGTCTGTCATGGAACCCTGCTACCCCTCTCACACACACAGGAAGAGATGAGGGCAGGGCCACCAGGAGAAAGGGGAATGGGGGAAGCAGAAATCAAGTAGGAGCTGGCGCTTCTGCCCATCGACAGTTCCCCACAGAGATCCCCTCTGGGCAGCCAGCCGTTTTTGAGAAGGTGAGCCTCTCACACAGGTTCAAGGCCCCGTGAGAACGGGAGAGGGCCCGGGACGCGCTGCTTCCTGCCGCCCGCACTGCAGAAGTGCAGGAGCCTGCAAGCACCCGGGGCTTATTCAGAGGCGCTGGGGGAGAGGGGCACTCCCGAGCGGTAGGAGACCAAAGGCCCCCCCCCCCGGGAAGATGGGCCGAGTGACGCTGCTTGTCTCTGTGTCAGTGCAATGGGATGTCCAACCGCTTCTGGGGCTGGGGCCGCGAGGACGACGAGTTCTACCGGCGCATTAAGGGAGCTGGGCTCCAGGTGAGATTCCCCGGGCCCCGCCGCCACCTCAGCTGCGGTGGCTGCCCTGAGATTTTCTTCTGTTTCCTCAGATGAAGCTCCTGGGGTCTGGAGATGGCCCTGATTCTGATCCCTGCCCTAACCCTGCCCTGCATGGTCATCTAGCCAGTTCCTTGCCCTGTGGGCCCCAGTCTCCTCTCCTGCAGGCTGGGAGTGCAGGTCCCTTCCTGTGGGACCTCGGGAGCTGGTGGTGAGGGCTGGGGCTCCAGGAAGGGCAGCCTGACCCCGACTTCCTTGGACCTCCCTAGCTTTTCCGCCCCTCGGGAATCACAACTGGGTACAAGACATTTCGCCACCTGCATGACCCAGCCTGGCGGAAGAGGGACCAGAAGCGCATCGCAGCTCAAAAACAGGTGCTGGCAGGGCTCCTCATTGGGGACAGATAGGTGGTCATGTGGGGAGCCAGCAGGCCCGGGCTTTCACCAAGTTCTCCTTGGCCCAAATGGTCCCATCCTCCCCTGCTTGGCCCAGGTCAGTCGACGGGCATTCTGCTTGGGCACCGTGCCCTGCTCTGGTGGCTGCTGTGGGCACCCTGGGCACTGTGGGTCAGCCCAGACCTCAGGGTCCATGCAGGCTGGCAGGGTGGGGTGGCGGAGGCGTAGCTGAAGGTGCCAGAATCCCAGCCACACCCGGGATGCAGGGATCCCACCCTCAAACAGCCCCTTCTCTAGGAGGCTTATGCATCCAACTGGAGATCCCGGCTCGCCTGCTTCCTAGTGGGGCACAGCCCTGGGCAAGAGGCTTCACTGCTTTGAGCTCTGGGTTCTTCCTCTCCAGTGGGGACCACAGGACCTCTGATGGCGAGGTTGTGTGGGGTCAGTGGGTAGCTGGCACCCATGCAGCCCTGAGTCCGTGCTCTTTCCTCTCTTCCTCCCCAGGAGCAGTTCAAGGTGGACAGGGAGGGAGGCCTGAACACTGTGAAGTACCATGTGGCTTCCCGCACTGCCCTGTCTGTGGGCGGGGCCCCCTGCACTGTCCTCAACATCATGTTGGACTGTGACAAGACCGCCACACCCTGGTGCACATTCAGCTGAGCTGGATGGACAGTGAGGAAGCCTGTACCTACAGGCCATATTGCTCAGGCTCAGGACAAGGCCTCAGGTCGTGGGCCCAGCTCTGACAGGATGTGGAGTGGCCAGGACCAAGACAGCAAGCTACGCAATTGCAGCCACCCGGCCGCCAAGGCAGGCTTGGGCTGGGCCAGGACACGTGGGGTGCCTGGGACGCTGCTTGCCATGCACAGTGATCAGAGAGAGGCTGGGGTGTGTCCTGTCCGGGACCCCCCCTGCCTTCCTGCTCACCCTACTCTGACCTCCTTCACGTGCCCAGGCCTGTGGGTAGTGGGGAGGGCTGAACAGGACAACCTCTCATCACCCCCACTTTTGTTCCTTCCTGCTGGGCTGCCTCGTGCAGAGACACAGTGTAGGGGCCATGCAGCTGGCGTAGGTGGCAGTTGGGCCTGGTGAGGGTTAGGACTTCAGAAACCAGAGCACAAGCCCCACAGAGGGGGAACAGCCAGCACCGCTCTAGCTGGTTGTTGCCATGCCGGAATGTGGGCCTAGTGTTGCCAGATCTTCTGATTTTTCGAAAGAAACTAGAATGCTGGATTCTTAAGTGATATCTTCTGATTTTTTAAATGATAGCACCTAAATGAAACTTTCAAAAAGTATGGCAGGCCAGACAAAATGTGTCGTGGACCGCTCACATGTCACTTTTGGCTGAGGGGCAAGGGGACGGGTGAGTTACAAGCTGGCAAGGAATTGGGGTGGGGCGGGGACGACAAGTCCAGGGGGGAGGAGAAGCCAAAGGTGTGAGGGTTCCTGTACTACCTCCACCCCACCAAGGCTTCTGGGCAGCCCCCGAATGCCCTTCTGAGCAGTCTTACCACCTTCAGGCTCTCTCTGGGTAAGCTTCCTCCGGCCTCACTGAGACACGGAGGAGGGAGAGTGGCTGAGGAGATTCACCCACAGGACTGGAGAGAGGCAGGCAGGGCACTCAGCCGGTGCCTCGGGTCATGGCTTGAGTGGGGAGGAGAAGGGGAGAAGTGGGAGGATCCCTGTGGTGTTCCCTCAGCACAGAGGGATTACAGTGGTCACTGAATGCCCAGGAGCAGTGAGAAGACATGAACTGGGGAGTGCTCTTGGGGGAATCACTTGGAGGGAAGCCCAGAGCCCATGAGAGTGGGAGGCAAGGGACCCTGCATGTAGGCCACTCCAAGGCATTTGGCTGCCAAAGATGCAAGGCAGAAGGCAGAGGAGACCATCAGGCCCCAGTAATGTGGGTTTGTTTTAACACCAGGACACCTGGAGTCCTGAAGGAAGGGATTCCTGAGCACCATCCCAGAGCTCAGGAAGGTGGAATCCACAGCTCTGGTTCAAAAGACTTCTCTGAGGATGATCAGGGCTGCTGTGTGCAGTTGTGTGGGTTGCGCACTGTGTAACCTGTGTATAAGCCGAGGGATTTAAGCAGAAAGGGCTGGGGTAAAGCTTCAGGTTCAGGTGTTTAGTCCAGGGTCTTTGTGATCCTAAATTGACCTTCCCCATCGATTCAGCCACACCCACTATTGTGATGGGCAGACAGGCCTCGACTCTAGTGCAGGGGTGGTGGAGAGGGGACTGTGCCAGTTCCCTGGACAATCCCAGCTGCTTCATCTTGGACTGACATGGACACCAGGCAGTAACACCAGCTCTTGGGAGTTGGTGGGAACAGGTGTAATATCAAAGCTCCCAGCTCTGCACTCTCCTGTCACATAGGAAGACCTCAGAAAATGGAGGTTCCTTCCTTTCCACCTGCACTGGGGGAGTGCAATGAGCAGAAGAAAAGCGAAGGTCCCTCCACCTTCTGAGATCAGCTGACACCTGAGCTTAGGTGCATCCCTAGCCCTGCAGCCTGTTGCTTCCCTTGACCGCCACCCCCACCTCCATCTTCAAGGCTGTGCTGGGCACTCCAGGCTGGGCCTGACGCGTTCCAAATCTGCAGCTCCCCTCACTCTGCATCCTGGGCCTCCACCACTCTCCAGGAGAGTGGGAGACGCCTGAGCCATGGGTGGCGAGAAGCGGCAGTCCTGTGCCGCCTCAGTGCCCCACTTGCCTCCTTCGTGGAATGGACTTGACATCCCTGCCTTGCTGGCCAGGGCGTGGCCGAAACCTACCCAGGATGTAGGAGCACCTGGCACAGCGCTTGGCCAGTGAGGCGGTGGTTGCAATAATAATAACCATCCCTTGTTGAACATTCACCAGATAACCAAATTCTCCACACCGCATTTCACTTAGGCCTCCCTACCTAAGAGCTGGGTCCTAATTCACTGGTTCTGTACATCAGGAAGGCAAAGCACAGACAGGCAAGTAGCTTGCCCAAGGTCGCAGAGCTGTAAGGGATGGGGGGCTGGGATTGGGAACCCCTGGAATCCACTTTCAGAGCCAGGTTTCTTCCCCTTTGCCCTGTACAGCAGGTGCCCATGAGCAGGTGTTCCTTCCCTACAGGCCTCCCTCCTCTCCCCTGCTGGAAAGGGCAGATGGGGAGGGCTGAGAGGAAAACAGGGGCATGGTGGAGATGCAGAGGATCTGCCTCAGGCTCCGCTGCCTCGAGGAAGACAGGGATTCTGCTGCTGGGTGCTGAGGAGCGCCGATGGGGCATTAGTGGGACCCAGAGTGTGGCACTGTAAATGAGAGCTGTGTGGAGTGCTTGGGGAAGGCTTCCCCGAGGAGGCAAAGTCTTGCTGGTGGAGAATTTGTCAGCAGGAAAGGGAAGGGATCATCATGTGCAAAGGCAGGCAGCCTGGAGCCAGCATGTGTGTCAGGTACCCAGGAGCAGCTGGAGTGTTCCTGGCACCCACGATACTGTGCAGAAGTGGGGAGGTGGGCAGCAGAGGGAAGGCTGGGGTGAGTCATGAGGATCTGTGAATGCCACACTAAGCAACTTGTACTTTATTCTAGGGGTGCAGGGGCTTTGAGAAGTTTCAAGCATGGGAGAACTTTTTTTGTTGTTCTTTTTGAGACAGGGCCTCTCTCACTCTGTGGCCAAGGCTCGAGTGCAGTGACGCGATCTCGGCTCACTGCAACCTCTGCCTCCCGGGTTCAAGATTCTCCTGCCTCAGCTTCCGGAGTAGCTGGGATTACAGGCATGTGGGACCACGCCTGGCTAATTTTTTGTATTTTCTTAGTAGAGAGATGGTTTCACTATGTTTGCAATCTGCCCGCCTCAGCCTCCCAGAGTGCTGGAATTATGTGTGTGAGCCCGGCCAGGGGAGAACTTTTGAACACTTACCTGTGTTCTATGACACAGATCCTTTGGGGGATAACAAAGATCCTTTGGGGGACCCAGGGTGGACTGCAGGGTGGAGTCTGAGGAAGGAGAGCACCCAGTCCAAGGGAGAGATGGTGAAGCCAGAATGAGGCAGGTGAGTGGGCGTGGGGATGCTAAACCCCCAGAGCCAGTAGGAGCCCTCCCTAGCAGGATCAATCAGACGCCATCAGGCCTTCCCTTCACGGAGGGTCGACTCCACTGCAGACTGTTTCCCAAAAGGCCAAATGGACGGACACATGGCCTTTTTGCTATCTCAGCCCTCATGCCTTGAGAACATATTTTACAAAACAAAAAAAGAGAACAGCAACTTTCAGTTTCAGCATCAACATGTAAACAGCTTGGCAAAACCCCATCTCTACTAAAAATAAAAAAAAAATTAGCTGGGCATGGTGGCGGGCACCTGTAATCCCAGCTACTCGGGACGCCGAGGCAGGAGAATCGCTTGAACCCTAGAGGCAGAAGGCTGCAGTGAGCTGAGATCACGCCATTGCATTCCACCCTGGGCAACAAGAGCAAAACTCCGTCTCTAAATAAATAAATAAATAAATAAATATAATAAAAACACCAAGAGCGATCTCTATAACAAGAAAAAAGAGCCTGTCTTACTGAGGCCCTACGACAGTCACCCAGCTCCAGCCGCCTCTAGCCTTCCTGTCTCACCTAAGGAGGTGGGACAAAGCTAAGACACCTGTGAAGACACCAGGGATACGGATGCACTAAAAGACCAAGATTTAATCATAAAATTAGAAACGTGCTTCCCCGTTTCCTAAATCATACCACCACATCAACGGGGCTCCAGTGTAACAGCAGTGGATTGTAGCTGAGGGAGCTATTAGGCACAGTAATTTTTTTTTTTTTTTTTTTGAGTTGGAGTCTCGCTCTGTCGCCCAGGCTGGAGTGCAGTGGTGCAATCTCGGCTCATTGCAACCTCTGCCTCCCGGGTTCAAGCGATTCTTCTGCCTCAACCTCCTGAGTATATGGGACTACAGGCATGCACTGCCAAGCCCAACTTATTTTTGTATTTTTAGTAGAGACAGGGTTTCGCCTTATTGGCCAGGCTGGTCTCGAACTCCTCACCTCAGGTGATCTGCCCATCTTGGCCCCCCAAAGTGTTAAAATTACAAGCGTGAGCCACCACACCTGGCCTATGTTGGTTTTTAAAATGTTAAACCTGTTTTGCACATATGAAATAAATCCTGTTAAATTGTGGTGTATTCACAGATTCACATTTATTCATAAATTCAATTTGCTAATATTTTGCTAATAGTTGCATTTATATCAGGGATCCCTAACCCTCAGGCCTGGGACTAGTAACAGTATCAGGCCACATAGCAGGAGGTGAGTGGCAGGTGAGCCAGGATTGCCACCTGAGCTCTGCCTCTAGTCAGATCAGCGACAGCATTAGATTCTCAGGAGTGTGAACCCTATTGTGAACAGCACATATGAGGGATCTAGGTTGCAAGCTCCTTATGAGAATCTAACTAATGCCTGATGATCTGAGGTGCAACAGTTTCATCCCGAAACCATCTGCCCCACCCACCATGTCCCATGGAAAAATTATCTTCCATAAAACTGGTACCTGTTGCCAAAAAGGTTGGAGACCGCTGATCTACGTTCATGAGAGGTATTGGTCTGTAGTTTTCCTTTCTTCCAATGTTTTTATCTGATTTTGATACAGGAAATGCTAACTTCATGAAATGAGTTAGGAAGTATTCCCTTCACTTCTATTTTTTGGGAAGAGAATGTAGAGAATTGGTACCATTTCTTCCATAATGTTTGCTAGATTTGACAACAAAACCACTGGGTCTGGTGCTTTCTTGTTTGCAAGGTTGTTTATTGACTTCCATAATTTATCAATTTCCATAATAGATATAGGCCTATTCAGATCATCTCTTTTCCCTGTGTGAGTTTTGGTTGTTTGTGTCTTTCAAGAAATTGATCTGTTTCACCTAAGCTGTCAAATCTGTGGGTACAGAGTTGCTCATAATATTCTTTTGTTATCTTTTTAATGTCCTTGGGATCAGTAGTGATGACCCCTTTCTCATTTCTGTTATCAGCAATCTGTGTTTTTTTTTCTTAGTTAGCTTAGCTAGAGGTTTATACATTTTACTGACCTGTGAAAGTACTGTTTTTATTTCTTTTTTCTATTGCTGCTGCACAAATTAGCACATTTTTACTTCACTGAATTTTTCTATTGGTTTCTTGTTTTCTATTTTATTGATTTCTACTATAATTTTTATTTCTATCCTTTTGCTTGCTTTAGGCTTACACTGATCTTTCTTCTCTAGTTTCCTAAGATGGAAACTTAGATTATGAATTTTAAATCTTTTTAATCTCTTCTAATATAGGCATTCAATATTATAATTTATCTCCAACCACTACTTTCACTGCTTCCTATAAATTTTGATACATTGTATTTTCATTTTTATTTAGTTCAAAACATTTTAAAATTTCTGTTCAGACTTCTTCTTTGACCCATCTGGTATCTAGAAGTGTTTTGTTTAATCTCCAGTTATTTTGAGATTTCCCATCTACGTTTCTGTTTTTGATTTTGTTTAATTTCCTCTGAGAGCACACTTTATATGGTTTGTATTCTTTGAAATTTGTAAGGTGTATCTTAAGGCCAAGTATGTAGTCTATCTTGGTGGATGTTTCCTGTGAGCTTGAGAAGAATATGTACTCTGTTGAATGAAGTATACTGTAAATGTCAATTAGATTCAGTGGCTTGACAGTATTGTCCAGTTCAGCTATATCCTTACTGATTTTTTTGCCTGCTAAATGTGTCAATTACTGATAGAAGAGTGTTGAAGTCTCCAACTATAATAGTGGACTTGTCTATTTCTCTTGCAGTTCTATTAGTTTTTGCTTCACATACGTTGATGCTCTGTTGTTAGGTGCATACACATTAAGGATTTAACAATGTCTTCTTGGAGTATTGACCCTCTTATTATATAATGCCCCTCTTTATCCCTGATCATTTTTCTCCCTCTGAAGTTTGCCTTATCTGATATCAATACTGCTACTCCAGTTTTCTTTTGATTAGTATTAACATGGTATATCTTTCTTTATACCTTTATTTTTATGCTATTTGTGTCTTTATATTTAAAATGGGTTTTTTTACAGACAACATATCATTGGGTCTTTTTTTTTTAATCTACTGGCAGTCTTTGTGTTTTAGTTGGTATATTTAGCGCCATTCACATTTAAAGTGATTATTGAGATAGTTGGATTAATATCTACCATGTCTGCCGCTGTTTTCTAGCAGGTGCACTTGTCCTTGTTTTTCTTACCTTCCCTTCTTTTTCTGTCTTTTCTGGTTTAACTGAGAATTTTACATGATTCCACTCTTTTTACTTTCTAGCATTATAATTATACTTCTTTCAAAACATTTTAATTCATTGTCCTAGAGTTCGCAATATAGATTTGCAACTAATCAACATCCACTTTCAAATTGCACTTTACCACTTCATGGGCAGTGCAGCTGTCTTCTAGCAGAGTATTCCCAGTTCCTCTCTCCTCACCCTTGTAAGAGTGCTATTCTTGATTTCACCTATCCTTTACTATGGACCCCAACACAATGTTACTATTATTACTTTAGCCAGGCAGTTACCTACTAGATCAACTAAGAATAGGAAATGTAAAAGATTTTCTATTGTCTTCATGTACTCCTTTCCTGACAGTTCCTTTATGTGGATCTGAGTTTCTAACCTATATCTCTTCCCTTCTCCCTTAAGAGCTGCTTTTAACATGTTTTGTAGGGCAGATTGGCTGGCAATAACTCTCATTTTTTTGCTTGTCTGAGAAAGTATTTTTTTTTTTGTTTTGTTTTGAAACAGGGTCTTGACTGTCACCCAGGCTGCAGTGCAGTGGCCAAACATGGTTCACTGCAGCCTCGACCTCTCAGGCTCAAAGGATCCCACTTCAGCCTCCCAAGTAGCTGGGACTACAGGACCGTGCCACCACACTCAGCTAATTTTTAATTGTTTTGTAAAGTTGGGGTCTCACTATGTCACTCAGGCTTGTCTCAAACTCCTGGGCTCAAGCAATCTTCCTGCCTTGGCCTCTCAAAGTGCTGCGATTACAGGTGTGAGCCACCGTGCCTGGCCCTCAAAAAGTTTTTGTTTCTCTTTCATTCTTTTTGTGAGAGCAAAAAATTTCTATAACATGGATGTCACCATTTTTAAACCATCATAAAATCCACCATTCTGTAGCCTTTACATACACAATGTTTTCTTCACTTTTGAAGGATACTTTTGCTGGATATAGAAATCTAGGTTGATGGGGTTTTCTCTTTTTTTTTTTTTTTTTTGAGGCAGAGTCTTGCTCTGTCGCCCAAACTGGAGTGCAATGGCGCGATCTCGGCTCACTGCAAGCTCCACCTCCCGGGTTCAGGCCATTCTCCTGCCTCAGCCTCCCGAGTAGCTGGGACTACAGGCGTCTGCCACCACGCCTGGCTAATTTTTTTGTATTTTTAGTAGAGACGGGGTTTCACCGTGTTAGCCAGGATGGTCTTGAAATCCTGACCTCGTGATCCACCCACCTCGGCCTTCCAAAGTGCTGGGATTACAGGCATGAGCCACTGTGCCCAGCCAGTTTTCTCTTTCAACACTTTACATATTTCACCCTTTTCTCTTCTTGCTTGCGTGGTGTCTGACAAGAAGGCTGTAATTCTTATTCGTTTCCTGTATAAGTAAGCTGGGTTTTTTTCTATGGCTTCTTTCAAGATTTTGTGTTTGTCTCTGGTTTTCTACAGTTTGAATATGATATATGTAGGTGTTGATTTTTTTTTTTAAGTATGTATCCTATTTGGTGTTCTCTAAGCTTACTGGATCCGTGGCTTGGGGTCTGCCTTTACTTTTGGAAAATTGGGAGCCATTATAACTTTCACGATTTTTCTGCTCTGTTCTCCCTTTCTTCTCCTTGTGGTGTTTCAATTGTGCATATACCTTTTGAAAATATCCCACAGTTCTTGTATAATCTGTTTTTTTCCCCATTTTTTTCTTTGCATTACAGTTTGGGAAGGTTCTATTAACATACCTTCAGGCTGATTTTTTCCTCATCTATGTCCAGTCTACTGATGGTCCCATCAAATGCCTTCATCATCTCTGTTATAGTGTTTTCTCTTTCTCTTTCTTTCCTTCCTTTTTCTTTCCCTCCTTCCCTCCCTTCTTTCTTTCTTCCTTCTTTTGTTTGTTTTGTTGTTGTTGTTGTTGTTGTTTTAGACAGAGTCTTGCTCTGTTGTCCAGGCTGGAGTGAAGTGGCACCATCTCGGCTCACTGCATCCTCTGCCTCCCAGGTTCAAGTGATTCTCATGCCTCAGCCTCCACAGTAGTTGGGATTAGAGGTGTGCGCCACCATGCCCAGCTAATTTTTTATAGTTTTAATACAGACTGGACTTCACCATGTTGCCCAGGCTGGTCTTGAACTCCTGAGCTCAGGCAGTCCACCTGTCTCGGCCTCCCAAAGTGCTAAGATGGAGAAAGCTGCCATATAAAGAGTTATCTTAGGGGGACCAGGGCAAGATCTGAGGGATCAGTTAGTTGGCTATGCCCCTTGTCTGGGCAAGACACTGCAGTGGCTTGGGTGGGGGTGGTGGCAGGGGTGGTGGGGTGAAGAGCCTAGGTCTATTCTGAAGACAGGGTATCTATGAGGGGTCTCTGTTTCTACTCTTCCAGAGCACACCACCACCTGCAGCTGTCTCCTGCCTCCAGTGCATCAGAGTCTGGAGCGCGTTGCTTCTCTGGAGGGAGATAAAGACACAGTGGCTACCTGGGGAGATAAAACAGCACCAGCAGGAATCAGGGGTTCCAGAGAGGAGGGAACCTGGCCCTGGGCTATGTGTGTATCAGTTGTGATATGCATAATCATCTTTGGTCTTATTTTTTCCAAGTGACTGGAAAAGTTCATTTCTAGCTTACTTACCTCTGTTCCTTCCTTAAACTCCTCTAGCCTGGCTTTTGTCTCTGCCATTTCTACTAAAACCACTCTGCTCAAGGCTGTCATCAGTGTCTCCACTGCCCAGCCCTGGACTGTCAGAGCCACTCCGGGACATCTGCACCAGATGCATGAGTTTCCTGATACAGCGAAATCTCAGCAGGAGTTGACACCCACCTGCCTGGTGCTCTGGGATGAATTTCTGCACAGATGCAACCTCTGTGGGTGGAAGCCAGGATGAAGTATATGCATCTGTGAAGACTGGCCTTCCATCTGTTTTCTGATGCAACCAAAATGCTTCAGGGCTCGTCTTATCTGGAGGTTTGATGGCTACAGACGTGAGGGGCTTCCAGGTAGAGCTCAGACCTGAGACTTCTGGTCCCCTGTCTGGACATCTGTATGAAGACGGAGAAGCACCAGCCAACCTCTCCACAACCCTCACCAAGTTCTCATGGAACATCCTCTGATGGTCCCTCTCGGTGCTGGGTTCTGGCAGGAGAAAGAGAAGTCAGGGAACAGAAGAGCTGCTCTGCCAAAGTCATACCCTTCTTGGAGACACAGGGAACTCCATCTCTCATTCTCACTAGCAATTTGCTGTGGCAACTCAAATGTTTTTCCAGATGGAACATAAGCAGACGTGATGTGTTTGCCTTCCAGGTCTAACCCATGCAAAGCCTCCTGGGAACACACCTCACGCTATTTTCTATTCCATCAGGTGGATATGGATGATGATTAGGAACTAGGGTGAGGTGGAGCCAGAAAACACAAGGAGCCTGGATCCCTGAATGACCACATGGACATACACATGCTGAAGACTGCCTTGTAAGCAGGAAATAAACATCTACTGTATTGAACCTTTGCATGTAGGGACTATTTTTTATAGCAGCATAGCTTTACTCTGACTAATACAATCCTTGCACTCAAGAGTTTACGGTCGTTTTAAGGAGACAAGACTCAGTCACACAATTCTGCAACAATAGTAGGTGGCTCAGAAGAAGAAGGGGCTGTAGGGTTTAGACTTCCAGT
Organism: Homo sapiens; assembly: GCF_000001405.40. Lineage (NCBI taxonomy): Eukaryota > Metazoa > Chordata > Mammalia > Primates > Hominidae > Homo > Homo sapiens. The sequence goes on from NC_000005.10 coordinate 177,619,927, forward strand.
TCTGAAGTCACAGGCTGCAGGCCCCTGGGTATGTGACTTTCCTATCTAATCCCTTTTCTGGAAAAATGGAGAAGAGTCAGATTGGGGGGAAGACTCTGTCAAAGGTTCATCAGTAGGGCTTGAAGCAAGTCTAGATGAGACCAATGATGTCAATTCTTAGAAAGGACAAAAGAAAATCGCCTCTAAATCCCTAAGAACTTTGGCTGCTACAGGGAGGGGATGGAGGCCAGAGTTTCCTAACTTCTCTCCTGGGACTCCCCAAACCTCAGAAGTTTCCTGGGGAGGAGCCCTGAACCTAGGTGTATGGGGATTTCATTATTCTAAGTGAAGTAACTCAGGGATGAAAAACCAAATGTATATTCTCACATATAAGTGGGAGCTCAGCTATGAGCATGCGAAGGCATAAGAATGATACAGTGGACTTTGGGGACTCAGGGGGAAGGGTGGGAAGTGGGCGAGGGATAAAAGACTGCACATTGGGTACAGTGTACACTGCTTGGGTGATGGGAGCCCCAAAATCTCAGTAATCACCACTGGAGAACTTACCTATGCACCCAAACACCACCTGTTCCCCCAAAACCTATAGAAATAAAAATAAATACATAAAAATAAAGATGTAAAAAACATTAAAAAACTATGAATTAAAAAAAAAGAAAGTTGGATCACCAGCTCTCTTAAAAATAGTAAGACCAGGTCTTGGAGGGCTGCATTCCAAGCAAGGGTGACGGTGGACACCTCCCTTCTATAATTCTCAGTTCCTGCCTGGCCGACTTCACTCATTAGGGCACTTACTTGGCTCTTGTAGACAGTTGAGTTTGAGATGTTTGGTGTAGAGAATGTTACCCCACAGTTGCCAGGAAGCAAATACAAATTTTGGTATCCAAGGGAGGTCCTGGAACCAGTCCACCCATGTAGTCAACCAAGGGATGACTGCATATCCTTTTAATGTGCTGTTGAATTTTAGTTTGTTAGTATTTTGTTGAGGATTTCTTCATCAACATTTATCAGGTATATTGGTTGGCAGTTTTATTGTAGTTTTTTACTTTTCCTTTTTTTTTTTTTTTGAGACAGAGTCTCGCTCTATCGCCCAGGGTGGAGTGCAGTGGCACCATCTTGGCTCACTGCAACCCCTGCCTCCCGGGTTCAGGCGATTCTCCTGCCTCAGCCTCCTCAGTAGTTGAGATTTCAGGTGCACGCCACCATACTCGGTTAATTTTTGTTATCTTTAGCAGAGATGGGGTTTCACCATGTTGGCCATGCTGGTCTTGAACTCCTGGCCTCAAGCAATCTGCCCACCTTGGCCTCCCAAAGTACTGGGATTGCAGGCATGAGCCACTGCACCCAGCTGCTTGTAGTTTTTTTGATCTGGCTTTGATATTAGGGTGTATCACGCTACTAATAAAGACATATCCTAGACTGGGTAATTTATAAAGGAAAAAGGTTTAGTTGACTTACAGTTCCACATGGCTGGGGAGGCCTCACAATCATGGCAAAAGGCGAATGAGGAGCAAAGTCACGTCTTACATGGCAGTAGGCAAGAGGCCTGTGTAGGGGAACTCCCCTTTATAAAACCATCAGATCTCATGAGATTTATTTACTATTATGAGAACATCACAGGAAAACCCGCCCCAGTGATTCAATTACCTCCCACCAGGTCCCTCCCATAACACGTGAGAATTATGGGAGCTACAATGCAAGATGAGATTTGGGTAGGCACACGGCCAAACCATATCACAGGGTAATGCTGGCCTCACAGAATAAGCTGAAATAAGTTATCTCTCCTCTGTTTTTTGGAAAAGTCTGAGGAGGATTGGTGTTAATTTTTATTTAAATGTTTGGCCAAATTTACTAGTGAAGCCACCTTGTTCTAGGCTTTTTTGTTGAAAGGTTTTTGATTACTGATTCTATCTCCTTACTAGCTATTGTTCTGTTCAGATTTTTTATTTCTTCACGAGTCAATCTTGGTAGGTTTCTAGGAATTACTCCATTTATTCTAGGTTATCCAGTTTATTGGGGGTATAATTGTTGGTAGTATTCTCTTTTAATCCTTTTTATTTCTGTGGCACTGGTTGTAATGCCCCCTCTTTCATTTCAGATTTTAGTAATTTTTAAAAATTCTATCACTGAGCTATCAATGCTGTTTTTAGTAATTTGAATCTTCTCTCTTTTTTAATCTAGTTAAGAGTTTGTTAGTTTTGATCTTTTCAAAAACCCAACTCTGTGGCTGGGTGCAGTGGCTCATGTCTGTAATCCTAGCACTCTGGGAGGCAAAGGTGGGAGGATCACTTGAGGCCAAGAGTTCAAGACCAGCCTGGGCAACTTAGCTAGATTCCCACCTCTACAAAAAATAATAAAAAAATTAGCTGAGTATGGTGACGCATGCTTGTTTTCCCAGCTACTTGAGAGGCTGAGGCTGGAGGATAGCTTGAGCCCAGGAGTTCAAGGTTTCAGTAAGCTATAATTGTGCTAGTGAGCTCCAGCCTGGGTGACAGAGTGAGACTCTGCCTCAAAACAGACAAATGAAATGTTTAAAAACCCCATATCTTAATTTTGTTCATTTTTTCCCTATTCTCCATTTATCTCTGCTCTAATCTTTACTATTACCTTCCTCTGCTAACTTTGGGTTCAGTTTCTTCTTTTCCTACTTTAGATATAGTCAGGTTGTTGGTTTGAGAGCTTTCTTCTTTTTTAATGCAAGCATTTATTTACATCTGTAACTTCTTAGTGCTGCTTTTGCTGCATCCATAAGTTTTTGTATGTTGTATTTCCATTTTAATTTGTCTCAAGGTATTTTAAAATTTCCCATGAGATTTTTTTTCTCTGAGCCATTGTTGTGTGTTGTTTAGTTGCCACATATTTGTGGGTTTTCCAGATTTCATCCTGCTATTGATTTCTGGTTTCATCCCATTGTGATTGGAAGATACTTGGTAGAATGTCAATGTTTTTATATTTTAAGTCTTGTTTTGTGGCCCAACATGTCGTCTATCTGGAGAAAATTCCATGTACACTTGAGAAGAATGTGGGTTCTGCTGTTGTTGGGTGGAATGTTCTGTGTATGTCTATGGTTAAGTGGCCTATAGTATTGTTCGAGTGCTCTGTTTCCTTATTGATTTTCTGTCTGGTTATTTTATCCATTATTGAAAGTGGGGTATTGAATCTCCTACTATTATTGTGTTGTCTATTTCTTCTTTCAATTCTGTCAGTGTTTGCTTTATATATTTAGGAAGTCTGATGTTTAGTGCATATATATTTGTAATTGTTATACCTCCTTGGTGAATTGACCCTTTTATTATATAATGTCCTTCTTTGCCACTTGTAACAGTTTTTATGTCTTTTTGTCTTATATTAGTATAGCCACCCTTGCTCTCTTTGGATTACCATTTGTGAGGAATATCTTTTCTCATCCTTTTACTTTCAGCAAGTCTTTATTTCTTTTTTTTTTTTTAGAGACAGGGTCTTGCTCTGTCACCCAACTGGAGTGCAGTGGCACTATGATAGCCTACTGCAGCCTAGAATTCCTGGGCTCACGGGATCCTCCCACCTCAACCTCCACAGTAGCTGGGACAACAGGTGTGTGTTACTATGCCTACTAATTAAAAAACTTTTTTAGAGACAAGAGTCTTTCTATGTTGTCTAGGCTGGTCCTGAACTCCTGACTTCAAGCAATCCTTCTACATTGGTCTCCCAAAGTGCTGGAATTACAGGCATGAGCCATTGCACCTGGCCACAAGAGTTTGGTATTTGAAAAGATATAAAGTGAGACTCTTGTAGATGGCATATAGTTGGATCCTGGTTTTTACTCCATTCAGCTAATCTCTGTCTTTTAATTGGGGACTTTAATCTATTTGCATTTAAAATAATTACTGATAGGGAAGAATTACTATGGCCATATTAATTATTTCCTATATGTCTTGTAGCCTTTTCAGGCCTCCTTTCCTTTGCCTTCCTTCATTTTTCATTGATTTTTTTTGTAGTGACATGCTTTGATTTCTTTCCCATTTCCTTTTGGGTATATTCTATAGATACCTTACTTGAAGTTACCAATGAGATCACATAACATATCTTAAAGTTATAACAATCTAGTTTAACAACTTCAGTTGCATACAAAAACCTCTACTTCTTTACTACTCCACTGCAATTTATATTATCAATGTCTTAAGTTAGATCTTTATATACTGTATACCCATAACTTGTTTTATTTTTTGAGACAGAGTCTTGCTCTGTTGCCCAAACTGGAGTGCAGTGGCATGATTTTGGCTCACTGCAACCTCCACCTTCTGGGTTCAAGCAATTCTTGTGCCCGAGTAGCTGAGACTGCAGGCGTGCACCACCACACCCAGCTAATGTTTATATTTTTAGTAGAGATAGGGTTTCACCATGTTGGCTGAGCTGGCCTCGAACTCCCGACGACCTCAGGTGATATTCCCATCTCAGCCTCCCACTCCAGGACAGGTGTGGTGGCTCACGCCTGTAATCCCAGCACCTTGGGAGGCCGAGGTGGGCGGCCAGGCACCCCCCAGACAAGTCAGTACATTGCATGCATGGTCCACTCTTTGTTTCTGGCCCAAGGGAAGAGCCAAGGTATGGGAGGTTTTCTCCTAGTTGAACTATGCTTTGCAGGGGAGGGAGAGGGATGTTGGCGCGCAAAATGCCACAAACTTTCCTAGCACTTTTGATAGATTATGTTCTTGGTTAGGCATTGGCCTGGGCACTGAAGCTTCTTAATTCGGCTCTAGAGTTCTCACAGTGATATTCTGGTCTGTATATGGTTGTTAATTCGGTGTCTCCATGGGGTAACAAGGGCCTGGAGCTTCCTAGTCTACCATTTTGCTGATGTCTCCCAGATTGTTCCTACTTAAAGCCCTCTGTTATTTCACTCCTATCTGGACTAACTGCTTCCTAGGTGTGCTATTCATTGTAATCTTGGGACTTCAATACTCTCCTGGATTAAATCTGATGTTGCCTGAATCCCATGCCTCCCCCCTTTTTTTGATTACTTCCTCATTCCTTTGATATACTACCTCAGGTAACCTCCTAAGAAACAGGGTATGGGGATATATTTTCAAATTCCTGCATAGCTGGAAATGTCTTAATTCTATCCTCACACTTAACTGATAGTTTGGCTAAGTACAGAATTCTAAGTAATTTGTTTTAGCCAATTGCTTTAGGTGAGCAGACAAAAAGTTGGCAATTAAACTTGGGGATCCTTAAAGGTCAGAATGTGGAAGACCTTCTTCCTGTGTAGCACCAACTCTGCACTAGCTGTCTTTGTTTTGTTTATTACAGACGGTTCATTCAATGTTTTTTTGTTTGTTTGTTTGTTTTTTTGAGACAGAGTTTCACTCTTGCTGCCCAGGCTGGAGTGCAATGGCATGATCTGGGCTCACTGCAACCTCCACCTCCCGGGTTCAAGTGATTCTCCTGCCTCAGCCTCCCGAGTAGCTGGGATTACAGGCATGTGCCACCACACCCAGCTAATTTTGTATTTTTTCGTAGAGACGGAGTTTCTCCATGTTGGGCAGGCTGGTCTCAAATTCCCGACCTCAGGTGATCTGCCCGTCTTGGCCTCCCAAAGTGCTGGGATTACAGGCATGAGCCACCGCGCCTGGCCTCATTCAACTTTTTTAGACAATAAATTCTCTGACTTTTTGCCTGAAGGTAGGTAACCTGGCTACTGATCCTTCTGCCCTCAGCAAAGAAGAGGTTGGCTGTTGCATTCACAAACTTTCAATAAATATCCAATAGCCCACATCTGACTCTTGCCCTCTATTAGATATTGTGTTTCTAAGTCCAAGACCTCTCTGGTGCTCTAAAGTGAAGATTCATCCTTCCTTGGCTGTAGCCTCTTTACATGTATGTGGCTTTCTCTGCCCGGCTCATCAGTCATCACTCTTACATTCTCTGTAGGTCTCCCTAATCTTCATTCAAATCTACTATCCTTCCCCTTTTTTCATAGCCATGAATTTATAACTTTCTCTATTCATTTACTATTATTTTTAATGGGATCTCAAGGAGAGGGATAAGTAAATATACTAAATCTTGAATTGGAAGATAGCACATACCATTTCAATAGGAATTTTTTGGCAGGGGTGGGAGTATCAGGAGGGAATAATGGTGTAGACTTTATTACCAGATTTACTGTCACTTTTCTTTTTTCTTTTAAGACAGGGTCTTGCTCTGTCACCGAGGCTGGAGTACAGTGTTGTGATCATGGATCACTATAGCCTTGACCTCCTAGGCTCAAGCAATCCTCCTGCCTCAGCCTTCTGTGTAGCTGGGACCACAGGCATGCATCACTATGCCTGGCTAAATATTTTATTTTTATTTTTGTAGAGACAGGGTCTCACTTTGTTGCCCAGGCTGGCCTTAAACTCCTGGGCTCAAACTGTCCTACTGCCTCGGCCTCTGAAAATGCTGGGATTACAGGTGTGAGCCATGGCACCTGGTATCACTTTTCTTTATAGTTAAAACTTCCCCTACAGAAGATATAATCTTATAATTGTTGTTACCTCTTCCTCCATGACATAGGTGAGCAGTTTCCAGTCCCACTCCACTGTCTTGGCATTGGCTGGATGTAGCCTGAAAGTCAAGTGAAATCAATTAGAATTATGGAGAATTTAGCGGAAGAAGGGATAGGATCTGAAGGTGATAGAAGGAAGAAGCCTCTTCTTATCCTCCATTATCCTCCATGCTCTTGCTCATCTTCTGGTATCATACCATGTCAATCTGAGAGTAGTGGAACTTCACTGTTTTTTGCTATCCAGTATCCACTCCCCTTTTGGAAAGCTTCAGTACTATAATTTTGTCTGAAGAAACCAACTCTTCACTACTCTTAACCAACTAGTTTTACCTACCAGAACCCCAAAATGAAGCATGTGGCTTTTTTAGCCAATCGTGCTGTTCTAAGCCTCAATTCATGGTGATTGGCTCAAAGATATGGTCATGTCTCTCATTAGGCCAATTAAATTCTGCAAGACTCAATTTCAGAACTCTTGGGTGACTACAAAGGAAAGACACTCTCTCCCACTGGAAGTGTCATAAAAGCCTGAGGCTGAGAGGCTACCACATGCAGCCCCAAAACAGAACTGAGGCTGAGAGGCTACCACATGCGGCCCCAAAACAGAACTGAGGCTGAGAGGCTACCTCAGGCGGCCCCAAAACAGAACCAAAGTAGAGCTGCAGAATGAACCCTGGTAACCATTTTTGTATGCTGAATCAAGTCACATCTCACTCCTCGGTTTCTACGTTTCTAGTAACACAAGCCATTAAATTCTCTTTTAGCAGTAGTTAAGGTCTGTTTGGACTGGGTTTCCTATCATTTGCAATTCAAATAACACTAATATACTAAGTCACCCACTGTAACGGTTAGGTTAAAAAAGCCTGTCAAGAGAAAGCTATGCCCTGAGTCCAAGATCCCTAGAAGATTCGCCAACAGCCAGAGGTTACGGTTCATACCGTTGAATTTTCATGAGAAGCATGTAGGCCTCCTTTAGGACATCCACAGTCTCAGAGCCACTGAGCAAGATTTTCTGGATGATGTGAGCCACGATTTCTCTTGGTGGGTAATGCTGGGGTGACACAAAGTCCATCAAAAACTGCACAGTCCCCAGGGGAAAATTCTCTTCAATGGTATTTGTTACCATTCTTAGTCTTCGATGAGGGATGGGTTCTAATTTTTGACCCTTGTTCTGTAGAGATTAAAAAGATGGAAATTAGGAGGGATTTTTTTTTTTTTTTTTTGAGATGGAGTCTCGCTCTGTCCCCCAGGCTGGAATACAGTGGCGCGATCTCGGCTCACTGCAAGCTCCGCCTCCCGAGTTCACGCCATTCTCCTGCCTCAGCCTTCAGAGTAGCTGGGACTACAGGCGCCTGCCACCACGCCCGGATAATTTTCTTTTGTATTTTTAGTAGAGACAGGGTTTCACCATGTTAGCCAGGATGGTCTCGATCTCCTGACCTTGTGATCTGCCCGTCTCAGCCTCCCAAAGTGCTGGGATTACAGGCCCATGCCCAGCCGGGATTTCTATGGTATACAAAAATAAGAGGTTCTAGAATAGGTTGAAGATAGCAAAGTTTTCCAGGCATTTGCAATATTTCATGATTAAAAAAAAAAAAAAAGAGGATGGGTGCAGTGGCTCACGCCTGTAATCCCAGCACTTTGGGAGGCCAAGGCAGGCGAACTGCTTGAGGTCAGGAGTTCGAGAGCAGCCTGGCCAACATGGTGAAACCCCGTCTCCAATAAAAATATAAAAATTAGCCAGAAGTGGTGGCACGCATCTGTAGTCCCAGCTACTTGAAGGCTGAGACATGAGAACTGCTTAAACCCAGAAGGTGGAGACTGCAGTGAACCGAGATGGCACCACTGCACTCCAGCCCAGGTGACAGAGCGAGACTCCAAATCAAAACAGACAAAAAAGAGCTTTATCTAAAAAACTTTTAATGACATGGGAAAAAGCTCATATAAAGTTAAAAAATCAGAATTCAAAATTGTACATATAACATGATTTCATCTATGTTAAAATATAGCATAGACAGAAAAATACAAAAGGGTCAAGAGGTAGCCTAGGATGATTTTGGGGTGAGGGTAACTAGAGACTTAGGGATAGCTGTGATACTATATCAGATACTGAAATAGATAAGAAAGAAGTTTTAAATTCATTTTGTTGTTAGGAGAAGAATTCCATTTTATTTTTTGTGAGAACAGTAAATATTAAGTTGCTTCTTCCCCCAAAAAATATGTATATAAAGACTGCGAGAGAATATGTGAAAAGTGATTTTCTATTATGTGGGTGGTAGAATTAGGGGTGATTTTTTCTCTATGTGCTCTTCTATATTTTTCAATTTTTCCATAATACATTACTTTTATAATTAGAATTAAACAATTTTAAAGTTTGATATGAGGGTTTAATAACAATAAATTTGGAGCTCTTAATTTTTTTTTTTTTTTTTTGAGATAAAGTCTGGCTCTGTCACCGAGGCTGGACCACAGTGGCATGATCATGGCTCACTGCAACCTCTGCCTCCCAGGCTCAAGCCATCCTCCCACCTCAGCCTCCCAAGTAGCTGGGACTACAGGCGTGTGCCACCACGCTTGGCTAATTTTTTTTGTATTTTTAGTAGAGACGGGGTTTTACCATGTTGCCCAGGCTGGTCTCGAACTTGTGAACTCAAGTGATCAAGCCTGTCGTGGCTTCCCAAAGTGCTGAGATTACAGGTGTGAGCCATCATGTCTGGCCTTAAACAATTAATTTTTTTTTTTTTTTTTTTGAGATGGAGTCTCCCTCTGTTGCCCAGGCTGGAGTGCAGTGGCGCGATCCTGGCTCACTGCAAGTTCCGCCTCCCGGGTTCACGCCATTCTCCTGCCTCAGCCTCCAGAGTAGCTAGGATACAGGTGTGTGCCACCATATTCAGCTAATTTTTGAATTTTTTATATAGGGGGTTGCACCATGTTGCCTAGGCTGGTCTCAAACTCCTGGGCTCAAGCAATCCACCTACCATGGCCTCCCAAAATGCTGGGGTTATAGGCGTGAGCCACCGCGCCCAGCACTGAATACTTAATTGATCCTCAACTAGTTCTTACAATAATCTTAGGAAATACATACTATTATTATTCCTATTTTATAAACAAAGAAACTGAGATTTGGAGGGTAAGCATTTGTCATACAACAAATGGCAGAAGCTGGTTTCAAACACACGTGGCATAAACTTCAGAGCCATCCTCTCAGCCCCTACTCCCCATAAACATCAAAAATAATAAGTGTATATGTTAAAAATCCCAATTATTAAAGTATGTAAAATGCCTATGTATAAAAAAGGCAACTGGGAAGGAAATACATCAAATTATTCACAATAATAAATGCTGTCTGGGCTGGGCGCGGTGGCTCACGCCTGTAATCTCAGAACTTTGGGAGGCCAAGGTGGGCGGATCACTTGAGGTCAGGAGTTCAAGACAAGCCTGGACAACATGGTGAAACCCTGTCTCTACTAGTAAAGTACAAAAAGTTAACCGGAAGTGGTGGTGGGCGCCTGTAACCCAGCTACGCGGGAGGCTGTGGCAGGAGAATCGCTTGAACCTGGGAGGCGGAGGTTGCAGTGAGTGAGCTGAGATCGTACTACTGTACTCCAGCCTGGGTGACAGGGTGAGACTCTGTCTCAAAAAAAAAGAATGAGCTAGTGGTCAGGCAGAGGCATAAAGAAGGAGAAGACATACAACATATTAGAAGATGTAATAATTTTAAAAAAGAGAAAAAAAATCATTCTCCAAGGTCAAATCAGTGTGAATCCTTGGCTCCTGCCTACCTGGATCACTGCTTGAATGAGGAGAGCATACCTTTTGACACTGAACTGTTTCAAGCTGGTTTTTCTTAATATGGGGGATGGGATGTACATAACTAAAAAACACTTCATACTGTGGAACTTAGCCACAGTTATTTTCCCTGACACATCTAGTTTACTTCTCATAAATCAATGATGACCAATGGAAAGTGCATTCCCACTCATGTCTTAAAACTGAATTTCCTCCCCCAAAGTCAGCAAGTAATAATTTTGGAGGCCCTTAAGTGATACAGTATTATTATCTCTGTGATATGGAAGCTGTAAAAGGGCACCAGGAAGGGAAAAGCATAGGAGTTGAAGATAAAAATGTATTTATTTTTTTGAGACAGAGTCTTGCTCTGTGGCCAAGGCTGGAGTGCAGTGGTGCAGTCTCAGCTCACTGCAACCTCCGCCTCCCAGATTCAGGTGATTCTCCTGCCTCAGCCTCCTGAGTAGCTGGGATTACAGGTGCATGCCACCACATCCAGCTAGAAGATAAGAATTTACATAAGCCTACGATGAGCCTGACACCCTGACACTTTCATGTATGACCCTGTGAGGTATGTTATTACTTCCATTTTACAGATAGGAAAGCTAAGGCTCAAAAAGGTAAAGTACCCTGCTGGGCGCGGTGGCTCATGCCTGTAATCCCAGCATTTTGGGAGGCTGAGGCGTGTGGATCACGAGATCAGGAGATCGAGACTGGCCTGGCCAACATGGTGAAATCCTGTCTCTACTAAAAATACAAAAAATTAGCCGGGCGTGGCAGCATGCGCCTGTAGTCCCAGCTACTAAGGAGGCTGAGGTAGGAGAAACTCTTGAACCTGGGAGGCAGAGGTTGCAGTGAGCCAAGATTGTGCCACTGCACTCTAGCCTGGGAGACAGAGCAAGACTCGGTCTCAAAAAAAAAAAAAAAAAAAAGTAAAGTGACAGTTTTTAAGCGTGGGGCTAAAATTTGAACCCAGATCTGGGCCTCTACACTGAATGGGTCTTCACAAGTGGAGGAAAGATAAGAAATTTCATTTATGCTTGACCTGTCCTCTCACGCATGGACTCCAGTCACACTGACCTTCTCCTAGGCCTAGGGAAAGGACACCTAATCCCTGAGGGAAGATGTTAGCTCACCTCTCGTGTCTTTATCCGGTATTAGCGTCTGAAAGAACAGATGATGAACCGGAGGTCGTAAGAAGTACTTCAGTCTATGCAGGCATGGTCTGTTGTACAACCCACCTTGTGGTGTTCGTGATTGTACGTGGGCAGACCCAGGTTTGGCAGGCTCTGACAGTGATATTTCTTTTCTGGCTGGGGTTTCCATGACAGAGAGCCAAGGAACTTTCTCTAAGGGAGTTTCAGACTGTGGGCTGGGAGAGCAGCTTGGAGGGGACGCAGCTGAGATATCCATAGGCATGTCACAGTTCTGTACATCATTCTGGGTAAAGTCAGGCCTGTCTCCTGGTAAGTGAGGGATGTCTCTAGGTGAGTGTGTCACGTCCCCTGATGAGTGTGGCATGTCTCCAGGTGAATGTAACACATCTCCCGGTAAGTGTGGCATGCCCCCTGGTGACTGTGGTGCATCTGGTGACGGTGAAACATAACTTGGTGACTGTGGCACATCTCCTGGTGACCCTAGCATGTCTCCTGTTGACTGTGGCACATCTGGTGATGGTGGCATGGTTCCTGGTGACCGTGGCACATCTCCTGGTGACTGTGGCATGTCTTGCAGGTATGCCACATCTTGTGGATGTAATATGCTTTGAGGCGGGCCTGGCACATCTTGAGGTAGGCCCAGAGAGTCTTGAGGTGGGCTTGGTGAGTGTTGAGGATGCCATAACGAGTCTTGAGGTGGGCTTGGGATATTCTGCCGAGGGCATGGCACTTCTTGAGGTGGTTGAGTTAGAGCTGGTAGTTTGCACTGCATGGTTTGTGATGGGCATGACAAGGCTCGTGGTGGACAAGGTGAGGCTCTCAGTGGGCAAGGCAAGGCTTGTGGTGGGCGAGACACATCTTGCTGTGGGCATGGCAAGGGTACTTTTTGATTGCTGCTGCTGCTGCTACTATTATTGCTTGTTGGGGAGAGGGAGCTAACATCTGAAGACAGCTGTAGACTTGCCAAGAAGCTGAGGTTACCTGTGAATGTGGCTGAGCTACAATTAGGCTCTGTTGGATAAACAGAGCCTCCACTGATGGATGTAGCGGGTGGGGGACCTACAAAGGTGTTTTCTTCCACTAGGTCCAAATCTACAGGATCACTGTTAATGAGTCTCCGTGCTGTAGGCTGAGAGCTTCTGTCCACCTGCCCTTCCATCACCGCTTTGCCAGAGAGGCTGGCACATGTCTGAAGACTGGTTGGCTCCCTCTGGGAAGGAGTGACAGGTTCTAAAGTTAAGTCAAGAGTGGCAATAGGTCTATTTTCTCCCTCAGCTCTTGTCAGGTCAATCACACAGTCCACTGCGATCTTTTGTCCTTGGTCTGATCTCTCTAGTTAAGTCAATGAAGTCCTGTTGAAGGATTGTGTGAATAGAAGAGGTCAAGATGGGAGTATTAGCTTTATCTGAGACGATTTAAGTCTTAGCTTTTAAGGATAAGCATTACTTTGCCATTTCACCTTACTGATAAGTTACACATCTTGTATAACATAAGCAATAATATTGCCAAAGCTGTCAATTTCTATACCTTCTTAAATTCTCCAAATGCCACATAAGCATGACTAGGATCATAGTGGGATTTTTTTTTTTTTCTGGTCCAAGGAGGACAGGGGAGTAGTAGGAGATATTCCAACCTTAAGTCACAAAGTCAAAAGCAACCTTTGTTTGGAAGGTCAAATACACAGGATAACCTACAACAAAAGCTACATTTTAAGAAGTGAAGCAAATGTAAGAGAATCTATGTGCTAAGAACATGCTGAGTATTTTCACGTATCTTTAATTTTCACAATGACCTGATAAGGTAGGCATTATCAATCCATCATACAGATGAGGAAACTAGAGTTCAGAGGGGTTAGGTTATCTACCTTAAGATTATATAGCTAAGTAGCAGAGACAGACATTCAAACACAGATCTGTCTCCTTCTTTCCCTGTGAGGGCCTAGGAATATACAACTTGATTCAATATGTAATCAACCGAGAAACAGATATGAAAGATAATATAACAAGGGTAATAAAACCAATAGTGTAAGTCTGAGCCCTAAGTAAGTAAATTAATGAAAACTTCCGATCTCCACTTCCATTCCTTGGCAAATTGATCAGGCTATTCACAAAGCCTAATGATACAGTACAGAGGTATTGTAATCAACCTCTGTACCATGAGCCTGGAAAAATATTGCTCTACCTTCTGTCTTCTCACTTACTTGGATACTACTGCCACTGGTAGTTTAGGGCCCTGAGGCTAGCAATACTATTGCTGCTATCACAGCTACCATGCTATTTCTCTTAATAGATGGTCACCATTGTCAACAGCACCAAAGCAGAATACAGAATTCTGAGTGGGTCAAGTGAGAAGCTGGCATCCTGGAATAGGGATTCCCTCATCCTGGAATAGGGATTGCTTGGTGAAACCTAATGCCTCATTCTTAGGAAGCAGCCATATAGTATCACCACCTTTGGTGGCTTGGCTGTCAATGGCAAGAACTGAACATAAATAGCTGAAAGGCCATCAAAGGTCTGAACTCAACTCCTCTCCCACAGCCAACTGCTAAAATGCAACATCACCAGGTCTCTCCCATTTATTTATTTATTTATTTATTTATTTATTTATTTATTTATTTATTTTCTTGAGACGGAGTCTCGCTCTGTTAGCCTTGGCTGGAGTGTAGTGGTACAATCTTGGCTCACTGCAAACTCTGCCTCCTGGGTTCAAGCGATTCTCCTGCCTCACCCTCCCAAGTAGCTGGGATTACAGGTGTATGCCACCACACCAGACTAATTTCTGTATTTTATTTAATATTCTGTATTTATTTCTGTAGAGATGGGGTTTCACCACGTTGGCCAGGCCGGTCTCAAACTCCTGACCTTAGGTGATCCACCCGCTTTGGCCTCCCAAAGTGCTGGGATTACAGGCATGAGCCACTGTGCCTGGACATTTGAAACCCATCACCGGCTAGGCACGGTGGATCACCTAGGGCCTAGGAATGTTTGCTTTTGTCCTTTTACCTGGAATGACTATCATCCCTTTGATTGTTTGGAGTTTCTTATCTTTCAAGACACAGCACAGATACCATTACGTGTGAAATCCTTCCAGATCACTTCTCCCCGCTGGTTAAACTAACCCATTCCTCTATCATGTCTCCACTGAACCTATGCAAACCTCTCTCTCTATCCTCAAGAATTTAATGATATTGAAAATAGAAATGTATTTTTACTTCATTTTCCAATTGTCCATTGCTAATATAAATATACTTGATTTATGTATATTGATACTGTATCCTGCAACCTTGCTAAGTTCACATAATAGTTTGAGTAAACTTTTTTCGTCGATTCCTTGGGATTTTTTTTTTCTTTTTTTATTCTTTCAATTTATTTTTTTTAAGTGTTTGCTTACATTTTATTTTTATTTATTTTTAACTTTTAAAAAATTATTATAAGTTCTAGGGTACATGTGCACAACATGCAGGTTTGTTACATATGTATACCTGTGCCATGTTGGTGTGCTGCACCCATTAACTCATCATTTACATTAGGTATATCTCCTAATGCTATCCCTCCCCTAGCCCCCCACCCCATGACAGGCCCCGGTGTGTGATGTTCCCCTTCCTGTGTCCAAGTGTTCTCACTGTTTCAATTCCCACCTATGAGTGAGAACATGCGGTGTTTGGTTTTCTGTCCTTGTGATAGTTTACTGAGAATGATGATTTCCAGCTTCATCCATGTCCCTAACAAAGGACATGAACTCATCCTTTTTTATGGCTGCATAGTATTCCATGGTGTATATGTGCCACATTTTCTTAATCCAGTCTATCATTGATGGACATTTGGGTTGGTTACAAGTCTTTGCTATTGTGAATAGTGCCGCAATAAACATACATGTGCATGTGTCTTTATAGCAGTATGATTTATAATCCTTTAGGTATATACCCAGTAATGGGATGGCTGGGTCAAATGGTATTTCTAGTTCTAGATCCTTGAGGAATCGCCACACTGTCTTCCACAATGGTTGAACTAGTTTACAGTCCCACTAACAGTGTAAAAGTGTTCCTATTTCTCCACATCCTCTCAAGCACCTGTTGTTTCCTGACTTTTTAATGATCGCCATTCTAACTGGTGTGAGACGGTATCTCATTGTGGTTTTGATTTGCATTTCTCTGATAGCCAGTGATGAAGAGCATTTTTTCACGTGTCTGTTGGCTGCATAAATGTCTTCTTTTGAGAAGTATCTGTTCATATCCTTCGCCCACTTTTTGATAGGGTTGTTTGATTTTTTCTTGTAAATTTGTTTAAGTTCTTCGTAGATTCTGGATATTAGCCCCTTGTCAGATGGGTAGATTGCAAAAATTTTCTCCCATCAATACCTAATTGATTGAGAGTTTTTAGCATGAAGGGCTGTTGAATTTTGTCAAAGGCCTTTTCTGCATCTATTGAGATAATCATGTGGTTTTGTCTTTGGTTCTGTTTATATGATGGATTACGTTTATTGATTTGCATATGTTGAAACAGCCTTGCATCCCAGGGATGAAGCCCACTTGATCATGATAAGCAATTTGATGTGCTGCTGGATTTGGTTTGCCAGCATTTTATTGAAGATTTTTGCATCAATGTTCATCAGGGATATTGGTCTAAAATTCTCTTTTTTTGTTGTGTCTCTGCCAGGCTTTGGTATCAGGATGATGCTGGCCTCATAAAATGAGTTAGGGAGGATTCCCTCTTTTTCTATTGATGGGAATAGTTTCAGAAGGAACGGTACCAGCTCCCCCTTGTACCTCTGGTAGAATTCGGCTGTGAATCTGTCTGGTCCTGGACTTTTTTTCGTTGGTAGGCTATTAATTATTGCCTCAATTTCAGAGCCTGTTATTGGTCTATTCAGGGATTCAACTTCTTCCTGCTTTAGTCTTGGGAGGGTGTATGTGTCCAGGAATTTATCCAT
Organism: Homo sapiens; assembly: GCF_000001405.40. Lineage (NCBI taxonomy): Eukaryota > Metazoa > Chordata > Mammalia > Primates > Hominidae > Homo > Homo sapiens. The sequence goes on from NC_000005.10 coordinate 177,636,316, forward strand.
TTCTTCTAGATTTTCTAGTTTATTTGCATAGAAGTGTTTATTGTATTCTCTGACGGTCATTTGTATTTCTGTGGGATTGGTGGTGATAACCCTTTTATCATTTTTTATTGTGTCTATTTGAATCTTCTCTCTTTTCTTATTAGTCTTGCTAGTGGTCTATCAATTTTGTTGATCTCTTCAAAAAACCAGCTCCTGCATTCATTGATTTTTTGAAGGGTTTTTTGTGTCTCTATTTCCTTCAGTTCTGCTCTCATCTTAGTTATTTCCTGCCTTCTGCCAGCTAGCTTTTGAATGTGTTTGCTCTTGCTTCTCTAGTTCTTTTAATTGTGATGTTAAGGTGTCAATTTAGATCTTTCCTGCTTTCCCTTATGGGCACTTAGTGCTATAAATTTCCCTCTACACAATGCTTTAAATGTGTCCCAGAGATTCTGGTATGTTGTGTCTTTGTTCTCATTGGTTTCAAAGAACACCTTTATTTCTGCCTTCATTTCGTTATGTAGCCAGTAGTCATTCAGGAGCAGGTTGTTCAGTTTCCATGTAGTTGAGCGGTTTTGAGTGAGTTTCTTAATCCTGAGTTCTAGTTTGATTGCACTGTGGTCTGAGAGACAGTTTGTTATAATTTCTGTTCTTTTACGTTTGCTGAGGAGTGCTTTACTTCCAACTATGTGGTCAATTTTGGAATAAGTGCGGTGTGGTGCTGAGAAGAATGTATATTCTGTTGATTTGGGGTGGAGAGTTCTGTAGATGTCTATTAGGTCCCCTTGGTACAGAGCTGAGTTCAATTCCTGGATATCCTTGTTAACTGTCTCATTGATCTGTCTAATGTTGACAGTGGGGTGTTAAAGTCTCCCATTATTATTGTGTGGGAGTCTAAGTCTCTTTGTAGGTCTCTAAGGACTTGCTTTATGAATCTGGGTGCTCCTGTATTGGGTGCATATATATTTAGGATAGTTAGCTTTTCTTGTTGAATTGATCCCTTTACCATTATGCAATGGCCTTCTTTGTCTATTTTGATCTTTGTTGGTTTAAAGTCTGTTTTATCAGAGACTAAGATTGCAACCCCTGCCTTTTTTTGTTTTCCATTTGCTTGGTAGATCTTCCTCCATCCCTTTATTTTGAGCCTATGTGTGTCTCTGCACGTGAGATGGGTCTCCTGAATACAGCACACTGATGGGTCTTGAGTCTTTATCCAATTTGCCAGTCTGTGCCTTTTAATTGGAGCATTTAGCACATCTACATTTAATGTTAATATTGTTATGTGTGAATTTGATCCTGTCATTATGATGTTAGCTGGTTATTTTGCTCGTTAGTTGATGCAGTTTCTTCCTAGCATCGATGGTCTTTACAATTTGGCATGTTTTTGCAGTGGCTGGTACTGGTTGTTCCTTTCCATGTTTAGCACTTCCTTCAGGAGCTCTGGTAAGGCAGGCCTGGTGGTGACAAAATCTCTCAGCATTTGCTTGTCTGTAAAGGATTTTATTTCTCCTTCACTTATGAAGCTTATTTTGGGTGGATATGAAATTCTGGGTTGAAAATTCTTTTAAGAATGTTGAATATTGGCCCCCACTCTCTTCTGGCATATAGAGTTTATGCCGAGAGATCAGCTGTTAGTCTGATGGGCTTCCCTTTGTGGGTAACTCGCCCTTTCTCTCTGGCTGCCCTTAACATTTTTTCCTTCAACTTTGGTGAATCTGACAATTATGTGTCTCAGAGTTGCTCTTCTCGAGGAGTATCTTTGTGGCATTCTCTGTACTTCCTGAATTTGAATGTTGGCCGGCCTTGCTAGGTTGGGGAAGTTCCCCTGGATGATATCCTGAAGAGTGTTTTCCAACTTGGTTCCATTCTCCCTGTCACTTTCAGGTACACCAGTCAGATGCAGGTTTGGTCTTTTCACATAGTCCCGTATTTCTTGGAGGCTTTGTTCGTTTCTTTTTACTCTTTTTTCTCTAAACTTCTCTTCTCGCTTCATTCATTTGATCTTCAGTCACTGATACCCTTTCTTCCAGTTGATCAAATCAGCTACTGAAGCTTGTGCATGCATCACGTAGTTCTCGTGTCATGGTTTTCAGCTCCATCAGTTCATTTAAGGACTTCTCTTCACTGGTTTATTCTAGATAGCCATTCGTCTAATCTTTTTTCAAGGTTTTTAGCTTCTTTGCGATGGGTTCAAACATCCCCCTTTAGCTAGGAGAAGTTTGATCATCTGAAGCCTTCTTCTCTCAACTCGTCAAAGTCATTCTCCGTCCAGCTTTGTTCTGTTGCTGGCAAGGAGCTGCATTCCTTTGGAGGAGAAGAGGCACTCTGATTTTTAGAATTTTCAGCTTTTCTGTTCTGGTTTCTCCCCATCTTTGTGGTTTTATCTACCTGTGGTCTTTGATGATGATGACGTACAGATGGGGTTTTGGTGTGAATGTCCTTTCTGTTTGTTAGTTTTCCTTCTAACAGTCAGGACCCTTAGCTGCAGTTCTGTTGGAGTTTGCTGGAGGTCCACTCCAGACACTGTTTGCCTGGGTATCACCAGTGGAGGCTGCAGAACAGCAAATATTGCAGAACAGCAAATGTAGCTGCCTGATTGTTCCTCTGGAAGCTTCATCTCAGAGGGGCACCCGGCTATGTGAGGTGTCGGTTGGCCCCTACTAGGAGGTGCCTCCCAGTTAGGCTACTCAGGGGTCAGGGACCCACTTGAGGAGGCAGTCTGTCCGTTCTCAGATCTCAAACTCCATGCTGGGAGAACCACTACTCTCTTCAAAGCTGTCAGATACGGACATTTATGTCTGCAGAAGTTTCTGCTGCCTTTTGTTCGGCTATGCCCTGCCCCTACAGGTGGAGTCTACAGAGGCAGGCAGGCCTCCTTGAGCTGCGGTGGGCTCCACCTAGTTTGAGCTTCCTGGCTGCTTTACCTACTCAAGCCTCAGCAATGGCGGGCACCCTTCCCCAAGCTTCGCTGGCACCTTGTAGTTTGATCTCACACTGCTGTGCTAGCAATGAGTGAGGCCCCGTGGGCATGGGACCCTCTGAGCCATGCGCAGGATATAATCTCCTGGTGTGCTGTTTGCTAAGACCGTTGGAAAAGCACAGTATTAGGGTGGGAGTGACCCCATTTTCCAGGTGCCGTCTGTCACAGATTCCCTTGGCTAGGAAAGGGAATTCCCTGACCCTTTGTGCTTCCCGGGTGAGGCGATGCCTCGCCCTGCTTCGGCTCTTGCTTGGTGGGCTGCACCCACTGTCCTGCACCCACTGTCCGACAAGCCCCAGTGAGATGAACCCGGTACCTCAGTTGGAAATGCAGAAACCACCCGTCTTCTGCGCTGCCCACGCTGGAAGCTGTAGACTGGAGCTGCTCCTATTCGGCTATCTTGGAACCTAGGATTTCTATATACGTTTCTATATGTGTGTTGTCTGCAAATAAGTCTTACTTCCTTTCCAATCTGTATGCCTTTTTTTTTGCCTTATTGCAATTGCTAAGGCATTCAGTATAATTCTGAATAGAAGTGCCAAGAACAGACATTCTTGCTTTTTGTTTTTTGAGATGGGGTCTCACTATGTCACACAGGCTGGAGTGCAGTGGAGTGATCCTATGACCTCAGCCTCCTATGTAGCAGGGACTGCAGGTGTGTACCACCATGTCCAGCTTTTTTTTTTTCGTAGAGACGGGATGTCACTACAGACTGGTCTTGAACTCCTGGGCTCAAGTAATCCTCTTGCCTTGGTCTCCCAAAGTGGTGGGATGACCAGCGTGAGCCATTGTGCCTGGCCCTTGTTTTATTTCTTTTTAATTTTTATAAGTGCATAGTGTGTGTGTGTGTGTGTGTGTGTGTGTGTGTGTGTATAAATATAAAAAATATAATTATATATATAAAATTATATATAATTATATATAATATATAATATAATTATATATTATATAAAATTATATACAATATATAATTATATATTATATATTATATAAATTATATATATTATTATATAACATATAATTATATATTATATGAAATTATATAAAATTATATATTATATAAAATTATATATTATATAAAATTATATAATTATATATTATTATATATATTATATATTATATATTATATATAATTGTATATTATATATACAAATTATATATACAAATAATTATATATTAGATATTATATATAATAATTATATATATCTATGGGGTACATATTTTGAGACAGGAATATTTTGAGACATTGTATAATGTGTAATAATCACATCAGGGTAAATGGGTATCCATCACCTCAAGAATTCATTTCTTTGTTAAGAACATTCCAATTGGACTCCCTCAGTCATTCTGAAATGTATAATAAAATATTGCTTACTGTAGTCACCTTGTTGTGCTATCAAATACTAGATCTTATTCATTGTATCTAAAAATATTTTTGTACCCATTAACCATCCATTCTCTCCCAACCCCCTACTCCCCTTCCTAGCCTCTGGTAACCATCATTCTACTCACTATCACCATGAGTCTAATTTTTAGCTCTCACAAACAATGAGGACATGCAAAGTTTGTCTTTGTGTGCCTAACTTATTTCACTTAACAGAATGTCGTCCAGTTCTGGAAGGTTATTAATAATTATTGATTCTATTTCTTTATTGGATATAGGTCTACTTAAATTATCTACTCATACACTTTTTTTTTTGAGACAGAGCCTTGCTCTGTCACCCAGGCTGGAGCGCAGTGGTGAGATCTTGGCTCACTGCAACCTCCGCCTCCAGGGTTCAAATGATTCTCAGGCCTCAGCCTCCTGAGTAGCTGGGATTACAGGTGCCTGCCACCATGCCTGGCTAATTTTTGTATTTTTAGTAGAGACGGGGTTTTGCCATGTTGGCCAGGCTGGTCTCGAACTCCTGATCTCAGGTGATCTGCCCACTTTGGCCTCTCAAAGTGCTAGGATTACAGGCCACCATGCCTGACCCCTCTTTACTCTTCCCTCTCCTCCTGGTGCTGTGAGTTGTGCTGCCTGAAGTTGGGGAAGGGGTGACATAAGCTTTCCCTTGGCTGCCCCAGTTGGTGTCTCACTGGATCATGTGGACCCCAAATCCACTAGATGTGAGCCCAACACAGCACCAGGACTTGTGCAGGAATTGCAGTCCTTGTGGCCTAGACTGCCTTTCAAATTTATTCAGCACCCCAGAGCACCTTAGCCCATGGTGGTGGGGCTAGCTGGAACTCAAGTTCCGACTGCTAGGACGGGCAATTTGCCTCTGGCTATGTCTGTTCTAAATGCTTCTGCTGTGGGCACTGGCCAAATTCTGCCGCGTGTTGTTTTCTGCTGTGACAGGGCTGCAGTGAGTTCCGATGCAAAGTCTCACAATCACTTCGCTTTCTCTTCCCCAAGCACACAGATTCTCTCTCCACATCATACTGCACTGCTGGATGACGGAGGAGGTGTGGTATAGGCAATTCAAGACTATCTTTCCTAACTTCTTCAGTGCCTCTTTCCTTAATATGTTAAAACCAGGTACTGTGATTGCTCACCTGAGTTTTAGTTCTTCTGAAAGTGCTTTCTTGTGTGGATAGTTGTTCAAGTTGGTGTTCTTGCTTGGGGGACAAATGCTGGAGGGTTCTATTCAGCCATCTTGCTCTGCCTTCCCTGCTTGTTCTTGAACTTAGAAGAAAGAATTTCAGACTTCCATCATTAAGTATAATTCTAGCTGTGGGGTTTTCACAGACGCCTTTAAGGAAGTTCTCTTCTTTTCTTAGTTTACTCAGAGTTTAAATTGGGAAGAGCTACTAAATTTTGTCAAATGCTTCTTCAGCATCTGTTAAGATGATGATGATTTTTTGTTCTACTAATATCAGAATTTATATTGATGGATTTTCTAGTGTTAAATTAACCTTGCAATCCTGGGAAAGCTTCTCTTGGTTATGATGTATTGTTCTTTTCCTATATTGATGGGCTTCAGTGAATCGATATTTTGTTAAGAATTTTTGCATATTTATCCTGGGCACAGTGGTGCATGCCTGTAATCCCAGCACTTTGGGAGGCCTAGGCGGGAGGATCTCTTGAGCTCAGGAGTTCAAGACCAGCCTGGGCAACAAAGCAAGACCTTGTCTCTACAAAAAAAATAAAATAAACTGGCTGGGCGTGGTGGCATATGCCAGTGGTCCCAGCTACCTGGGAGGCTCAGAAGGGAAGACTGCTTAAATGTGGGAGGTCAAGGCTGCAGTCAGCTGTGGGGTCACCACTGCACTCCAGCCTGGGCAATAGAGTGAGGCGTCATCTCTCAGAAAAAAAAAATTTGCATGTTTATATGGGATTTTTATTTGTAATTTTCTATTTTTGTAATTTTTTTTCTGTTTTTGTTATCAGAGTAAAACTGATTTAATAAAGTAACTTGAGAAACAGTCCTACCCCTTCTATTTAAGTTGTGTTTGAATGGTACTATGTCTTTCTTAAATGTTTGGTGAAATTCACCAGTGAACCTCTTTGCACCTGAAATTTGCTTTGCAGGAAAGGTACAAATTAAAATTACAAATTCAATTTCTTTAGTAGACATAGGGCTATTAATATTTTATCTGCCTTCTTGTGTTAGTTTTATGACTTGTGTTTTTCCAGAAATTTGTCCATTTCATTTATCAAATTTATTGGCATAAAATTGTTCATATTTCCTGTCAACTTTATAATTCTATACTCTGTATAGATTTATTCCCAATTCCTATTTTTATCCCCAATATTGGTAACATTTTTTAAATCCCTGATCTAGCTATTTATCAACTTTATTGATCTTTTTGATCTGTTTCCTATTTCATCTATTTCTGTTATCTTTATTATTTCCTTCTTTCTACTTTGTATTTAATTTGTTCTTTCTCTAGCTTCTTAAATGGAAGCTTAGGTTTAGACTTTTTTCTTTTCTAACATTAACATTTAAAACTAAAAATTTCACTGTAATGACTACTTTGGCTTCATCCCACAATTTTAAAAAGTATGTGAATTTTTCTGAAGGACACAATTTTTAATATGTAGTCATTTTATTATCATGTGGTTCAAATTTACTTTCATTATGGTCAGAAAACATACTCTGTAAGATTTTAATCTTTTGAAATACACTGAGACTCATGTCCTAACACACGGCCTACCCTGGTGAATCTTCCTTGTGTACTTAGGGAGAAAAAGTGTATTCTGTATTTGTTAGTTACAGTTCTATAAATATCAATCAGGTCATGGTAGTTAATAGTGTTTTTCAGATCTTTGATTTCTTTACTTTGGTGGGGGCGATCCAGTTGTATTATCAACTACAGAGTGAAAAGTGTCCAACTACGGTTGTAGTTTGACTGTTTTCCCTCTCTTAGTTGTTTGCTTCATGTATTTTGAAACTGTATTTATTAGGTGCATATACACATGTAATTCTTATAACTTCCTAATGTGTTAACTCTTTTATCATTATGAAAGATTCCTCTTAGTCTCCAGAAATCTTCCTTGTATTGATGTCTTGTTTTTCTGGTAAGAATAGAGTTACTACAAATTTCTTGTGCATACTATTTGCATGGTATATTTCTTTCTATCCTTTTACTCTCAGTGTATTTGCATCTTTATATGTAGAATGTCTCTCATATAGACAGTACATCTCATATAGATAGCACATACTTGGTTCTTGCTTTTTTTTTTGGTCCAGTCTGACAATCTCTGCCTTTTGTTTAGAATTTTGGTCTATTTACACTTAATTATTTACATGTTCACTTTTAAACCTACAATCATACCATCTCTTTCCTATTTCTTCTATCCATTATTTGTTTCATTGTCCCTCTTTTCCTACCTCCCTTTATGCTAGTGACATATTTTTTGGCATTCCATTTTAACTCCTCTATTGGTTTTCTATCTATATGTCTTTTCATTATATTTTTAGTGGTTGCTCTTGGGACTACAGTGTATAAATTCAATTTATTCCAGTGTACTTTAGAAAATTTTAGAAAATGTATTGAATTACTTCTTGGCACAGCATGGTGGCTCAGGCTTGTAGTCCTAGCACTTTGGGAGGCCAAGGTGGGCAGATTGCTTGCGCTCAGGAGCTGTGGAGACCAGCCTTGGCAACATGGTGAAACTCCATCCCTACAAAAAAATCTGGCTGGCGTGATGGTGCGCACCTGTAGTCCCAGCTACTTGGCGGGGCTGAGTCAAGAGGATTGCTTGAACCTGGGAGGTTGAGGCTGCAGCGAGCTGAGATTGCATCACTGCACTCAAGCCTGGGGGACAAAGCCAGACAAAGACAAGCCTGGGGGACAAAAAAAAAAAAAAAAAAAAAAAACAGAAAGAAAAGAAAATTTATCGAATTACTTAAGGTAAAACTATAGAAACCTTACAAAATATTCCACTCACCTGTGCCTCATCCTGTATTTTTGTTGTCCTGTGTATTATCTGTATACATTGTAAACACATCAGCACAGTAGTACTATACTTTTTCAGTCACTTGTCTTTTAAAGATATTAAGACATAACAAAAAATCATTATTTTTGTTTTACACACATTTACAATTTCATGTGCTCTTCACTCCTTTGTGTAGATCCAAATATCCATTTAGGTGTCATTTCCCTTCAGCCAAAATGTCTTATAGTGCAGGTCTGCTAGTGAAAAATTCTCTCATCTCTGTTTATCCAAAAATGTCTTTATTTTCCCCTTATTTTTGAAGGATAATTTTTCCAGATGCAGAATTCTTGGCTGAAAGCTTTCTTTTTTCCATCATTTGAATATGTTGGTCCAATGTCTTTTGACCTCCACAGTTTCTGATAAGAAGTGAGGTGTTAACTGCACTGTTGTTCCCTATGTACAATATACCATTTTTCTCTGGACAGTCAATAAGTGGTTTTCTTTGTAATTATCTTGCTTTCAGTCTGCTGTACTACTTGGGTAAGTTAATTTTTTCCCACAAAATGTGAGAAAATTCCAGTCATTATTTCTTCAAAAAATTTTCTATAATTTACTGCTGCCCCTCCTTCTAAGACTCTAATTATACCTATTATGGATTGTTTGATATTGCCCTACATATCTCTTTTCAACTTTATTCCATCTTTTTCTCCCCTGTTTCTCGAAACTGGGTGATTTCTATTGATCTAGCTTGAACTTCATGGCTTCTTTTGCCAATCTGCTTTGTTTTCTAATCTACTGTTGAAGCTATTTAGATTTTTAAAAAATTTCAGTTACTGTATTTTTCAACTCTCAAATTTCCATTTTTATAGTTTCCATTTCTTGGTTGAGATTTTCCACCCCACTCATTGATGTCATAGTTTAACTCATTGAACACATTTACAATAATTGCTTTGAAGTTTCTGTTAAATCCAACAACTAGGCTCACTCAGAGTCAGTTTCTATTGACTGCCCTTTCCCCCTCCTTGAGTATGAGTCACACTTCTGTTTCTTTGCATGCCTAGACACTGGGTTTAACTGTGTTCTTCTAAGAATTGTTGTGGGGTTTTTGTTGTTCTAGTAGATATTAATACTTAACCTGCCTAGATTCGAACTGCAAACTTTGTCTCCCTTGCACAATATAGGTACTGATATCTTTGTTCTTATGGTTTCCAGCTGCTGTTGTTTTAACCTGGCCTCTTGAGGCGGGAGGCGGGGGGGGGGTCCTCTGTTGTGCCTACATAATTTGGCTGTCAGCCAACCACCTGAGCAGTCATTATACTAAAATTTTGCAGTTCACCCTTCGTATGATTTTTCTTGTTTGCAGGGATTCCTCTGTAATTTCTTGCTCCGCCAGCCTTGACCTCTGTCCCCTGACATTTCAAGTCCATAAAATCTCAGCTTTCTGCCACCCAAGTTGCAAATGACTGGGGAATGCAATCAGTTAAAAAAGCCGCAAAGTCACAGATATCACCCTATGCAGCTATCTTGTAAGAATAGATTCCTCTCTGGTATCTGCCTGATTTCTCACCGGGCCCTCAGAGAGTACTTTAACTGTGAGGCAGTTTCACAGATTGGAAGTAGAATCCAACTGCATTGCTCTTCAAATTCTGGAGAGAGTCAGTTGCTCCCCTCTTTGATGGTTCCATAGCACACTGTATATACTAATATTACTTTAGCACATATCATGAGGCATTTTGCAGGGTACTTAATTATCTTCTCCCCCATTTGAGAATAACCTCTTTTTGTATCCTGTATCCTTGGTAGCTATAAGGTACTTGGATCCAACACGATTAATAAATAAATTTAATCTAATAATATTTGTTAATTTATTCTCATTTCATTGTTCTCTCATACTCTCCCTAACTCCTAATTAAGTAATTTGCATTTCCATCACATATTGCTCCAATTAAACTTTCACATATAACAAATTATCTAATTTTAACAGTTGTATTGCCAGAGGGAGGAGAAACACAGATTACTAAGGCATCCCGATATTTGGCATCTGCAGAGTGAAACTAGGAAATAACTCCAACAGGCCTCCTAATTAACCCTATTTTCAGACATTGTGAGGTGAATGTTATTCACATTTTAGAGCAAAACAAAGAAAGCTCAGAAACCAGAACACTTTTCCTTTGGGGCTTTGGATTTAAGAAATTGGAAGTGTCAGATTCACCTATACCAGCAAACTGCTGACTCGAGGCTTATCACCCACTTATGGTGTTGATAATGGGATATGCTGCCTGCCACTCTAGTTTCTGTTCACAGTTTTTGGTTAATTTTACTCTTTGGAGACTTCTGTTAATTCTTGCCAGCCTGGCTAGCAGGACAAATTAGTTTCGGTCAGAATCCTGTTTGTTTGTTTGTTTGAAGTGGAGAGTCCTTCTAAGTTGGCTATACTCCTGAAGGAAAAAATTCCTGGTCAAGGCTTGTGTTGAATTTCTATCCAGTGACCTTGTTAAACTCCCTCAATTAGGTCCTAGGAGGGTTTTGTTGTTGTTGTTGGGGGTGGGTATATTCCTTGAGATCTTCTGCATAGACAATCATGTCATCTGGAAATAGGGACAGTTTCATTTCTTTTTTCCAATCTGTATGCCTTTTATTCCCCTTTCCTATTTTACTTTTTTTGTAGAAATGGTATCTCCCTATCTTGCTCAGGCTGGTCTTGAACTCCTGGGCCCAAGCAATCTTCCCTCCTTGGCCTCCCAAAGTGCTGGCATTATAGGCATGAGCCACCATGCCTGGCCTATTTCCTTTTCTTAACTAATTGCTCCAGCTGAGACTTCCAGCACCATCTGAATAGGAGCAGTAAAAGCAAATATCATTGCTTTGTTCTAAATCTCACAGTCCACAATCAAATGTGGGAGCAATGGGCTGATCTAAGGTTTGAACTTAAAATTAAAAGGAAAGCAGACTGTAAAAGTCTGAAAAATTTGCAACCCAGTCCTGTGGTAGGGAAGGAACAAGCATTTTTAGGAGAGAAATTTAAAGGGGCTGAAGAGCAACCACTTGCAGAAGAAATTAGCAAGACAATGGGAAAAAGGCCTAGAGGCCTAGAAGGACAGAATGGTTTCAGGAGCCCAATCCAAATTCAGGCTGTTCAGGCCCCAGTCAGGGCTCAAAAGGCCCCAGGCATGGCTCAGGCTGCCAATCAGAGGCCCTGGCAGCTTCCATGTGGTGTTAAGTCTGTAGACACACAGAATGCAGGAGCGCATTCTGGCAGTTTCCACCTAGATTTCGGAAGATGTATCAGAAAGTCTGCATGCCCAGGCAGAAGCCTGCCATGGGGCAGAGCCCCCACAGAGAGACTCTACTAGGGCAGTGCCAAGGGGAAATGTGGGGTTGGAGCCCCCATAGAGTCCCTACTGGGCTACTCCTTAGTAGAACAAGGCTGCTGCCCTCCAGAGCTGAGAGTGGTAGAGCCACCAGCAGGTTGTATTTTCAGCCTGGAAAAGCCAAAGGCCCAACTCCCACCTGTGGGAGTAGCCATATAGGCTGTGCCCCAGTAAAGCCAAAGGGTGGGGCTACCCAAGGCCTTAGGAGCCCACCCCTTGCACCAGTATGCCCAGGATGCAGGACATGGAGTTAAGGGAGATTATTTTGGAGCTTTAAGATTTAATGTCTGCCCTGCTGAGTTCTGGACTTACATGAGGCCTATTACCCCTTTCTTTTGGCCATTTTTTTCCTTCTGGAATGGGAATGTTTACCCTATGCCTGTACAATCATTGTATCTTAGAATTCAATAACTTGCTTTTCATCTTACAGGCTCACAGCTGGAAGAAATTAGCCTTCAGTCTCAGATGAGATTTTGCATTTTTTTAATTGATAGTGGAATGAGTTAAGACTTTTGGAAATTATTGGGAAGGGATGATTATATTTTGCAATGTGAGAAGGATATGACATTTGGGGGGCCAGGGAAAGAATAATAGTTTGGATATTTGGCCCCTCCAAGTGTCAGGTTAAAATTTGATCCCCAGTGTTGGAGGTAGGACCTGGTGGAATCATGGGGACAGATCACTCATAAATGTCATGGTGCCATTCTCAAGGGATTGAGCCAGTTCTCACTCATAGTTCCTGCAAAATATGAATGTTCTTTTTTCTCTTCCTCCTTCTCTCACCATGAGACATACCTGCTCCCCATTCACCTCTGCCATGGTTGGAAGCTTCCTGAGGTCCTCACTAGAAGCAGATGCTGGTGCCATGCTTCTTGTTCAGCCTGCAGAATTATGAGCCAAATAAACCTCTTTTCTTTATAAATGACTCAGCCTCAGGTATTCCCTTACAGCAATGCAAAATGAACTAAGACAGCTATTCTGAATCTTTTGTCCCTCCATATAAACTTTACAATCAGTTTGTTGATGTTCATAGAACAAATTGCTGGGATTTTGATTGGGATTGCATTGAATCTACCAATTAAGTCAGGAAGAATTGACATCTTGATGACATTGAGTTTTCCTATTCGCAAACATGAAATGTTTCTCCATTTATGTAGTTCTTCTTTGACACCCGTCATCACAGTTTTCTATATAAAGATTTTGTAGATATTTTGTTATATTTACGCCTATTTGTTCAATTTCTGGGAGTGCTAATGTAAATGTAAATGGTAATGTATGTTTCATTTCAAATTCCACTTTTTCATTGTTAGTATATAGGAAAGCAACTGAGTTTTGTATGTTAACCTTGTGTTCTGCAAACTCACTATAATTGCTTGTTAGTTCCAAGAGGTTTTTTTCTAGATTCTTTGAGATTTTCTACATAGACAAATCATGTCTTCAGTGAACAAAGACAATTTTATTTCTTCCTTCCCAATCCACATACTTTTTCTTTTTTTGAGACAGAGTCTCACTCTGTCACCCAGGCTGGGGCACAGTGGTGCAATCTCGGCTCATTGCAACCTCTGCTTCCTGGGTTCAAGTGATTCTTCGGCCTCAGCCTCCCAAGTAGCTAGGACTACAGGTGCTCACCACCATGCCTGGCTGATTTGTATATTTTTAGTAGAGACGAGATTTCACCGCACTGGCCAGGCTGGTCTCGAACTCCTGGCCATAAGTACTCCACCTGCCTTGGCCTCCCAAAGTGCTCAGATTACAGGCGTGATCTACCATGCCCAGCCCTGTATCTTTCTTTTCTTCTGTTTTCTTTTTTTGTCACATTAGCTAGGACTTCCAGTACAATGCTGAAAAGGAGTAGTGAGGAGACATCCTTGCCTTATCCCTGATCTTAGTAGGAATGCTTCAAGTTTTTCACCATTAGGTATGATGTTAGTGGCAGGTTTTTTGTAGATGTTCTTTCGGAAGTTGAGGAAGTTCCCCTCTATTCCTAGTTTGCTGGAAGGCTTTTTTTTTTTTAAATCATGAATGGGTGTTAAATGCTTTTTTGGCCTCTATTGAAGGGATCATGTGATTTCTCTTCTTTAGCCTACTGATGTGGTGAATTGCATTAATGGATTTAATTGATTTTCAAATGTAGAATTGACCTTGCATACCTGGGAGAAATCCTACTTGGTCACGATGTGTAATTCTTTTTGAACATTGTTGGATTTGATTTGCTAATATTTTGTTGAGGATTTTTGCATCTGTGTTCATAAAAGATATTGGTCTGTAGTTTTCTCTTATAATTTGTCTTGCTTTGGTATTAGTGTAATGTTGGTCTCATAGAGCTAGTTAGCAAGTAGTCCCTCTGCTTCTATTCTCTGAAAGATTGTTGAGAATTTATATCATTTCTTCCTTAAATATTTGTTGGAATTCACTCGCCAACCCATCTGGGCCTGGGGCTTTCTGTTTTGGAAGGTTACTAATAATTATTGATTCTATTTCTTTATTGAATATAGGTCTACTTAAATTACTTATTCATAAAACTTTTTTTTCCCTTTTTTTTTTTGAGACAGAGTCTTGCTCTGTCACCCAGCCTGGAGTGCAGTGGCATGATCTCAGCCCACTGCAACTTCCACCTCCTGGGTTCAAGTGATTCTCCTGCCTCAGCCTCCAGAGTAGCTGGGATTACAGGTGCATGCCACCACACCTGGCTAATTTTTGTATTTTTAGTAGAGATGGGGTTTCGCCATGTTGGCCAGGCTGGTCTCAAACTCCCAGCCTCAAGTGATCCACCCGCCTCGGCCTTCCAAAGAGCTGGCTGGGAATACAGGTGTGAGCCACCGTGCCCAGCCATCATACACCTTTTATAACAAAAATTTAAATTTTAAAAAGCATTTGTTCTACCCAAATTGATCTATAAGCTTAATAATTACAAACAAAATTCCAATGGGATTTTAAAAAGTAACAGATAAGATGATTCATAACTTCATTTCAAATAGGAAAAGCAGCCGGGCGCGGTGGCTTGTGCCTGTAATCCCAGCACTTTAGGAGGCTGAGGTGGGCAGATCACTTAAGGTCAGCAGTTTGAGACCAGCCTGGCCAATATGACGAAACCCCATCTCTACTAAAAATACAAAAATTAGCTGGGCATGGTGGCGTACACCTGTAATCCCAGCTACTCAGGAAGCTGAGGCAGGAGAATCACTTGAACCCGGGAGGCAGAGGTTGCAGTGAGCTGAGGTTGTGCGACTGCACTCCAGCCTGAGTGACACAGCAAGACACCGTCTGAAAAAAAAAAGAAAAAAACAAAGAATGTTACTACTGCTGTATGTAGTTGCCACTGCTGCTGCCATCTTCACTAAATTGGAGTTCACCTGGGCCCTGCTTCTTCCTGTCACCAGCTTCTGGTAGAACCTAGGTCCCACGTCTGAGCACTAGGTGTACCAGAGCCTGGGAAAGTGAGCATCTGCCATTTCTGCTTCTTTACACAGAAGTAGATTGTATCTCTGAAGGTGGGAGTTCTGTACACTCCTAGTGTTCTGAGATTCAGAAACTAGGATGTCACAAGGAATGACATAATGTCCACAATAGTGGTATATATTAAAATAAAAAAAGACATATTACTCTTTATCCTCAAAATTCCACTGCAAGGAACTTGTCCTACAAACATTTTTTTTCCTTTTTTAACCATAAAATGCAGAGAAAAAAACCGTATTTTAATGACCATGCAAGAGGATTCATCATATCATAGTCTAACATCAAAAAAATTAAAATCAATAAGAGACTGGCTAAGTTTGGTTTTTAAAAATTTTTATTAAAATTTCTTTTTAGTTTCATAGGTTTTTGGGTAACAGGTGGTATTTGGTCACACAAGTAAGTTCTTTAGTGGTGATTTGTGAGGTTTTGGTGTACCTACCACCCAAGCAGTATACACTGAACCTAATTTGTAGTCTTTCATCCCTCGCCCCCTTCTCACCCCTTCCCTGAGTCGCCAAAGTCATTCTTATGCCTTTGCATCCTCATAGTTTAGCTCCCACTTATGAGGGAGAACATACGATGTTTGGTTTTCCATTCCTGAGTAATTATGTTTTTTTAACATTAGAATAACATGCAGCTGATAAAACGATTATTGAATGAATACTTACAATGTACCAGGCACCATGTTGTGCACTGGGAATACCATTGCAAGCAAAATGAATAATGGTCTGAATGAGGTATGAATTTTTTAAATGTCTATTACATATTTTTTAATTTTAAAATATATATACTAATTATATATAAATATATATAAATTTTAGTTTTTATTTTAATGCCTATAATATATTAAGTAATTTTAAAAAGTTAGCATGACCCCATTGGGAAAGAATTATACATTTAAATATGTTTGTGCACACACAAGGAAAATTTCTGGAGCAATACACAAAAACTGTAGTTATCTAGAGTAGAAATAGATAGGGGCAGGTTCTTACATAAGAATTTCTTACCTGTATTTACAGTTTATGATTATTATTATTTTTGAGATAGAGTCTTGCTCTGTTGCCCAGGCTGGAGTGCAGTGGCACGATTTCGGCTCACTGCAACCTCCACCTCCCAGATTCAAGTAATTGTCATGCCTCAGCCTCCAGAGTAGGTGGGACTACAGGCGCGTGCCACCACTCCCAGCTAACTTTTGTATTTTTAGTAGGGACAGGGTTTTGCCATGTTGGCCAGGCTGGTCTTGAACTCCTGACCTCAGGTGATCCGCCTGCCTCAGCCTCCCAAAGTGTTGGGATTATAGGCGTGAGCCACCACGCCTGGCCTATTTACAATTTAAAAATAATGTTTATAATTTTTTTTTCCAGATGGAGTCTCGCTCTGTCACCCAGGCTGGAGTGCAGTGGAGCCATCTTGGCTCACTGCAACCTCTGCCTCCCAGGTTCAAGTGATTCTCAGTCCTCAGCCTCCCAAGTAGCTGGACTACCATGCCTGGCTGATTTTTTGTATTAGTGGAGATGGGGTTTCACCATATTGTCGAGGCTGGTCTCGAACTCCCAACTCAAGTGATCTGTCCACCTCAGCCTCCCAAAGTGCTGGGATTACTGGCGTGAGCCACCATACCCAGCCTAATGTTTATAATTTAAAATGGGAAAAAATTATTTTTCGAATGATATGATTATGTACCTTTAAAACATAAGCAAATCAGAGAACCCACTGGAGGGTACAGGGTTTCCTTCTGGAGTGAAGTAAATGTTCTAAAATTAGATAGTGGTGATGGCTGCACAACTCAGAGAATTTTATGGTATGGTATGGAATTATACTTTAATAAAGCTGTTATTAAAAGACCCACTGGAATAAGGTAACACTTTACAAATTAGCTAATACAAAAATACAAAACTAAATCCCTACCAGACAGGAAGGAACACTTTGTCTTCATGGGTAGCCAGACCCACCAACCTCCCAAAGACAGCTCAGGATAAATGAGGGATGTTGGAAGTGATCTGCAGGCTTTCAAGGAAGCTGAACTTGATTTAAGACCCAAGTTAATTTCACATCTGATGTATTAAATTCAAAATGTAGATGAATTTTCCTTTCTATTCTATGGCAGCTCCATACAGCTGTAGTGAATATTATATTAATAAGTTCACTAACTTATGCGATTGTGCCACTGCACTCCAGCCTGGGTGAGAGAGCAAGACTCTATCTCAAAAAAAAAAGGAGTTTTAAAAAACAATTTTTGTATTAAAAAACTCTCGTGAGTCTATTTTTCCAAAACCATCCGTTTAAAAAATAGAATTATATTTTGTGACTTGCTTTTTTCCACTTAACTGTTTACTACTACCATCCCCACCTGATGTTCCCTTGGAAACCTGGTATGAGGTTTGAAAAAGTTTGCCCCAGGATCTTAAAGATGGAGACAAGCAGTGGTAAACCTGCTCTACTAGTTAGCATCTGGTTGAAGCTACCTTAGTTTCCTCATTTACCAAACAGGGATAATAATACTACCTACCTCATGGGGTTGCAGTGAAGATTATGAGTTAATCCAAGTAAAGCACTTGACATGGTACCTGGCATAAATGCCAGCTATTCTTATTATGTGATGCTTACCATGATTGATATGTTTAACCCTACATAGCACATAGTCATTCAGAATCAAAACACTAGCTCCATAAAAAGGCACCAAACCCAAGGAAGTCTTATAGTTTTACTGATCACCAAGAAGCAAATCTCATAAAATGAAAGTTATACTATACTTCTGCTTAGAAAGACAATATTGTAAAGACATTAACTCTCCTTTAATTAACTTATAAAACTAATGTAGTGGTTCTGAACTGGTGCAATTTTACCCCCTACCCAGGGGCTATTTGGCAATGTCTGGAGACATTTTTGATTGTCACAAGTTGAGGGGTTACTACTGGCAGGCATCTAGCGGGTAGAGGTCAGAGATGCTATTAAATATCCTACAGTGCATAGGACAACCCCATGCAACAAATAATTATACGGCCCAAAGAAACAATCTAATGCAGTCTTTGACAAAATTATTCTAAAATTCATTTGGGGGAACAAATGGGTACAAATAGCCAGGACATTTTTTTGGGGGGAAAAATAGTAAGGAGACACATACGTACATATGTATGTATTCCCCATATGTTGAATTGTAATCCCCAAGGTTAGAGGTGGGGCCTGGTGGGAGGTGTTTGGGTCATGGGGGCAGATCCCTCATGGCTTGGTGCTGTCTTCACAATAATGAGCTATTGCGAGATCTGGTTGTTTGCATCTGTGGCACCTTCGCACCCCCACTCTCACTCTCTTGCTCTCTCCATGTGACGTGCCAGCTCCCACTGTGCCTTCCACCATGATTGTAAGCTTCCTGAAGTCTCATCAGAAGGTGAACAGATGCCGGCACCATGCTTCCTGTACAGTCTTTGGAACTGTGAGCTCTTTTCTTGATCAATTACCCAGTCTTAGGCATTTCTTTTGTTTTTTAATTTTAAAAAATTTTTATATAAAAGTCTTTGATCCATCTTGAATTGATTTTTTGCATAAGGTGAGAGATGAGTATTCTCAGGGATTTCTTTACAGTAATGCAAGAACAGCCTAACACATATACTGCTTTATGAAATCCCGAAAGATATATCAAACTATAAAAATAAAACAGGAAAGTTATGGTATTGAATAAAGAAATCAATGAAACATAATGGAAAACCCAGAAACACAAGTAAATAAAATAATTTGGTATAAAAATATGTTACGGGCCAGGTGTAGTGGCTCACACATGTTGTAATCCCAGTGCTTTGGGAGGCCAATGTGGTAGGACCACTTGAGGCAAGGAGTTCAAGACCAGTGTGGGCAACATAGTGAGACCCTGTCTCTACCAAAAAATAAATTAATTAATTTAAAAAATTAGCCAGGCATGGTGGTGTCTGCCTATAGTCCTGCCTACTCAGGAGACTTGAGGCAGGAGATTACTTGAGCCCAGGAGTTCAAGGCTGCAATGAGCTATGATTCTGCCACTGCACTCCAGGTTGGGTAACAGTGAGATTCTAAAACAAAAAATGTTACAAATAATTGGAGAAAAGATAATTGTTTTAAAATGACTGACACAATTGATAACACCATATTTTATAATCTAATATGTGGAATGTTTCCATAATACATATATAACCAGGATGTATACTATAATTAATGTGTGCATTTCATGTGGTAGTGTTTCTTTTTAGAAAAGGTGTTTTTAAAATGACAGCAAGTCTTAGATTTGTTGTTGTCTTAGAAATAAGGCAAGAAATTAAATTTTATCCTTAAGTAAAATGACTAACTATTTAAGAAAGAAGGACAAAACTGAAGGTCTAAACATGCCATAGAAGGTCTAAACATATCATGGAAAGTTTGCGAAGGATGAATTTACAAAAGAAATTTGTGGTGACCAAGTTGGCTATAATTAGAAGAAACTTACTTATAAGTATTTCTAAAGACTGCTTCAATTAAAAAATACATGTGTGTATATATATTTATATACACATTGATATGAAAACTAAAATTTTGGTCTCCTATATTAGAACAATGTTTTCTTGAAGTATTGATCTGCTTTTAATAACATTTGCAAGAGATTTTGACCTAATTCTGAAATTTGTTTCTTAAATTTTCAACTATCTTCTGAAGTGCAGCTTTTTTGTTTGTTTGTTTTTTAGTCTTCCTTTCTCTAATATCAGTTTTAAAATGAATCTTCTTCATTTAGAATGGTAATTTCATATTTTGAGGTAGAGTTTTCCTGTGGAAGCTTCTCAGATTCACATCTCAGTAGTTAAACTTTTGCTGTATCTTGTTTCATGTGATTTGCAGGTCAGACATTTCTGCCTTTTGGTCTTCCACTTTCTCTCCTTGAGACAGTATATCTTTTTGTTTGGTGAGGTGATAATTCTCTTTTAACTTTTTCATCTTCTGTAACTTTTTTTCTCCAGCTCTAACTCTGCTTTAACGGCCTGACACTGAAATGTTCTATCTTGAAGGCCTAGAAAAGTTGTTTTCCTCCAGTATATCCTGATTCTGTGCTCTTGGCTTTCTTACTTTCTTTCTTTCTTTTCTTTTCTTTTTTTTTTTTTAGGAGTACTCATTTTTTAATTTGTTTATTTTAGTCAGGATATTTTCTGAAGTAAAATTTCACAGAAAACAAAATTTTATTTTACATGTACATTTCATCTCTTTAAAGTCAAGTTAGCTCTTTTTCTTTAAAAAAAAAAAAAAAAAAAAAAAAGACAGTCTCACTCTGTCACCCAGGCTGGAGTGCAGTGGCACGATCTTGGCTCACTACAACTTCTGCCTCCAGGTTCAAGCGATTCTCCTTTCTCAGCCTCCAGAGTAGCTGGGGTTACGAATGTGCGCCACTACACCCAGCTCATTTTTTGTATTTTTAGTAGAGACAGGGTTTCACCATGTTGGCCAGGCTGGTCTCAAATTCCTGTCCTCAAGTGATCAGCTCGCCTCAGCCTCCCAAAGTGCTGGGATTACAGGCATGAGCCACAGCACCCGGTCCTGAAGATAACGTTTTTATGACTTTTATTTGAAACATTATTGGTTCTTTTTTTTTTTGAGGTGGAGTCTTGCTCTGTTGCTCAGGCTGGAGTGCAGTGGCACGATCTCAGCTCACTGCAACCTCAGCCTCTGGAGTAGCAGGGATTACAGATGCCCACCACCATGCTGGCTAATTTTTG
Organism: Homo sapiens; assembly: GCF_000001405.40. NCBI lineage: Eukaryota > Metazoa > Chordata > Mammalia > Primates > Hominidae > Homo > Homo sapiens. The sequence goes on from NC_000005.10 coordinate 177,657,172, forward strand.
TAGTTTTAGTAAAGACAGTGTTTCACCATGTTGGCCAGGCTGGTCTCGAACCCCTGACCTCAGGTGATCTGCTCACCTCGGCCTCCCAAAGTGCTGGGATTACAGGCATGAGCCACCATGCCTAGCCAGGTTCTTTATTTAAATATTTTGTTTTCTAGCTTTAAGGAAACCTTTTCTTTCTCTTAAGCTACTTATTAGTTTACAGTAATTTGGTATACTTTGTGAACAAAGGTGGAAACATTTTTTTTGTCCCTATTTGATTCCTCTAAAATTCAGAAACTATCCATGAGTATTCTTATTTTTTATGGCAAGAATTATTTACATAAGTTTAATAAAATTTGCTCTCTCTTTATAACAGGATGCAGTTGGAAACATTGGTTATATATATTACCAAGGCTTTAACTAGAGCATCATATTTGAGAATGTGCATATAATGCCTGGCTTCAAGGGTTCCCAGCCTTACAGTGAGTAAGGCTGTTAATACATCTGTTCTTAGATTATAGCCCTGTGCATTGTCTTTGAGTTCCTGTTATACACTGGTAGACTGAACTAAATCTTAAATTCTTCTAGATTCCTCCCATCTTTTCTTCCATGAAATTAGTAAAAACAGGAACTGCTCTGTTCCTGAAATCCTAAAAGCTAAAACTAGATAAATTTTAAGGGGCAAGTCTCATGGCTGATGATGAGTCACACAGAAAGTTCACCAAACCATCCAGTGCCATAACCAGACGTTCAAAACTGAAAACCAGGACAATAAGTTGACATTTTCATGCTGCAGACAGCTTTTCCCTAGACGTTAGAACAAGACTACATAATCAGACTCCTACTCCTCTTAATCCTACCTTTTTCACTTGGCAGGATAACAGTGTAATTGAAATTTCACAATCAGCAGCTTCTGTTGGTAACTTGACAGAAACTGGTTTAAGGGATCCTTTAGTCCATCTAGTGGGTGACCTTGGCAACATCCCTAATACAACTGTTGCTCTCTCTCTGCTTTAATTCCACCCAGTCATGGGATCCTAGATGATAAAATTGGTCTATATTATCTATTAGTTAAATAAGGAAATTTCTGTGCTGTTGCTAATACTTTATGCTGTAACTAGATAATGGCCTTTGGGAAAGTTGAGACCCATATATGCAAAATAAGAAAACAGGCCACACAGTTACAAAAGGTGTCACCTAGTTCTCCGTGGTCATTTGATTTATTCAATTGATTCAAAGGTTTAATTGAACCTTGAATCCTAGGTTCATGGCTGAAAATTATTACACAAACCGAGATTATCATTTTACTTTCTATTTTTCTTTTTAAACTTTGTAGCTATTACTTGTTAAAATTCTGCCAAACTACAATGCCTAACAGAATAATGCTGGCCCAGCACTTTGAAGTGATAGGAAACACCTATGGAACTGATAAAATTAAACTTAATAATGAACCCCAGGTAAACTTAGCTTGAGAGCTACTCCCTCCAAACCTCCCTTGTTGCTCAAACATGGCTAAAAGAGTTTTGACACTGACTCCTAGTTGTCAATGACTCCCTACAACATGGAATGAGACCAACAATCCAGGATAGGTCCATCCTGGCACTGAGGGATATCAAAACTGAACTATTTCCAGGCACAGTGGCTCATGCCTGTAATCCCAGAACTTCGGGAGGCTGAGGTGGGTGGATCACTGGAGGTCAGGAGTTAGAGACTAGGCTGGCCAACACTGCAAAACTCCGTCTCTACTAAAAATACAAAAAAATTCTCGAGGAGTATCTTTAGAAGAGCAACCCTAAGACGCATAATCGTCATATTCACCAAGTTGAAATGAAGGAAAAAATATTAAGGGCAGCCAGAGAGAAAGGTCGGGTTACCCACAAAGGGAAGCCCATCAGACTAACAGTGGATCTCTCTGAAGAAACCCTACAAACCAGAAGAGAGTGGGGGCCAATATTCAACATTCTTAAGAAAATAATTTTCAACCCAGAATTTCATATCCAGCCAGACTATGCTTCATAAGTGAAGGAGAAATAAAATCCTTTACAGACAGGCAAATGCTGAGAGATTTTGTCATCACCAGGCCTGCCTTACAAGAGCTCCTGAAGGAAGCACTAAATATGGAAAGGAAAAACCGGTACCAGCCACTGGAAAAACATACCAAATTGTTTTTGTTTTGTTTTGTTTTTGAGGTGGAGTCTCGCTTGCTCTGTCGCCAGGCTGGAGTGCAGTGGCATGATCTTGGCTTGCTATAATCTCCGCCTCCCAGGTTCAAGCCATTCTCCTGCCTCAGCCTCCCGAGTAGCTGGGACTACAGGAGTGTGCCATCACACCTAGCTAATCTGTGTATTTTTAGTAGAGACAGGGTTTCACCATGTTGCCCAGGATGGTCTCGATCTCCTGACCTTGTGATCTGCCCACCTCGGCCTCCCAAAGTGCTGAGATTATAGGGGTGAGCCACCGTGCCTGGCCAAACATACCAAATTGTAAAGACCATCAACACTATGAAGAAACTGCATCAACTAATGGGCAAAACAACCAGCTAGCATCATAATGACAAGATCAAATTCACACATAATATGAATCTTAAATGTAAACGGGCTAAATGCCCCAATTAAAAGACTCAGACTGGCAAATTGGATAAAGAGTCAAGACCCATTGGTGTGCTGTATTCAGGAGACCCATCTTGTGCAAAGACACACATAGGCTCAAAATAAAGGGATGGAGGAATAAATTACCAAGCAAATGGAAAGCAAAAAAAAAGGGTTGCAATGCTAGTCTCTGATAAAACAGACTTTAAACCAACAAAGATCAAAAAAGACAAAGAAGGGCATTACATAATGGTAAAGGGATTAATGCAACAAGAAGCGCTAACTATCCTAAATATATATGCACCCAATACAGGAGCATCCAGATTCATAAAGCAAGTTCTTACAGACCTACAAAGAGACTTAGACTCCCACACAATAACAGTGGGAGATTTTAACACCCACTGTCAATATTAGACAGATCAACAAGACAGAAAATTAACAAGGATATTCAGGACTTGAACTCAGGTCTGGAACAAGTGGACCTAATAGACATCTACAGAGCTCTCCACCCCAAATCAACAGAATATGCATTCTTCTCAGCACCACATCTCACTTATTCTAAAATTGGCCACATAATTGGAAGTAAAACACTCCTCAGTAAATGCAAGAGAACGGAAATCATAACAGTCTCTCAGACCACAGTGCAATCAAATTAGAACTCAGGATTAAGAAACTCACTCAAAATTGCACAACTACATGGAAACTGAACAACCTGCTCCTGAATAACTACTGGGTAAATAACGACATTAAGGCAGAAATAAATAATTCTTTGAAACCAATGAGAACAAAGACACAATGTACCAGAATCTCTGGGACACAGCTAAAGCAGTGTTTAGAGGGAAATTTCTAGCACTAAATGCCCACAGGAAAAAGCCGGAAAGATCTAAAATTGATACCCTAACATCACAATTAAAAGAACTAGAGAAGCAAGAGCTAACAAATTCAAAAGCTAGCAGAAGGCAAGAAATAACTAAGATCAGGGTAGAACTGAAGGAGATAAGAGACATGAAAAACCCTTCAAAAAAATCAATGAATTCAGGAGCTGGTTTTTCTTTTTTTTTTGAGACGGAATCTCGCTCTGTTGCTCAGGCTGGAGTGCAGTGGCATGATCTCGGCTCACTGCAAGCTCCACCTCCCGGGTTCACACCATTCTCCCGCCTCAGCCTCCTGAGTAGCTGGGACTACAGATGCCCGCCACCATGCCCAGCTAATTTTGTTTTTGTATTTTTAGTAGAGACGGGGTTTCACCATGTTAGCCAGGATGGTCTCGATCTCCTGACCTTGTGATATGCCTACCTCAGCCTTCCAAAGTACTGGGATTACAGGCGTGAGCCACCATGTCTGGCCAGGAGCTGTTTTTTTGAAAAGATTAACAAAACAGATAGACCACTAGCCAGACTAATAAAGAAGAAAAGAGAGAAGAATCAAATAGACACAATAAAAAATAATAAAGGGGATATCGCCACTGATCCCACAGAAATACAAAGTACCATCAGAGAAGACTATACACACCTCTATGCAAATAAACTAGAAAATCTAGAAGAAATGGATAATGTCCTGGACACATACACCCTCCCAAGACTAAACCAGGAAGAAGTTGAATCCCTGAATAGACCAATAACAAGTTCTGAAATTGAGGCAGTAATTAATAGCCTACCAACCAAAAAAAGCCCAGGACCAGACGGATTCACAGCCAAATTCTACTAGAGGCACAAAGAGGAGCTGGTACCATTCCTTCTGAAATGATTCCAAACAATAGAAAATGAGGGACTCCTCCCTAACTCGTTTTATGAGGCCAGCATCATCCTGATACCAAAACCTGGCAAAGACACAACAACAAAAAAAAAATTTCAGGCCATTATCTCTGATGAACATCGATGCAAAAATCCTCAATAAAATACTGGCAAACCAAATCCAGCAGCACATCAAAAAGCTTATCCACCACGATCAAATTGGCTTCATCCCTGGGATGCAAGGCTGGATCAACATACGCAAATCAATAAACGTAATCCATTGACAGAACCAATGACAGAAACCACATGATTATCTCAATAGATGCAGAAAAGGCCTTTGATAGAATTCAACACCACTTCATGCTAAAAACTCTCCATAAACTAGGTGTTGATGAAACGTATCTCAAAATAATAAGAGCTATTTATGACAAACCCACAGCCAATATCATACTGAATGGGTAAAAGCTGGAAGCATTCCCTTTGAAAACCAGCACAAGACAAGGATGCCCTGTCTCACCACTCCTATTCAACATAGTATTGGAAGTTCTGGCCAGGGGAATCAGGCAAGAGAAAGAAATAAAGGGTATTCAAATAGGAAGAGAGGAAGTCAAACTGTCTCTGTTTGCAGATGACATGATTGTATATTTAGAAACACTATCGTCTCAGCCTAAAATCTCCTTAAGCTGATAAGCAACTCCAGCAAAGTCTCAGGATTCAAAATCAATGTGCAAAAGTCACAAGCATTCCTATACACCAATAATAGACAAACAGAGAGCCAAATCATGAGCAAGCTCCCATTCATAATTGCTACAAAGAGAATAGAATACCTAGGAATACAACTTACAAGGGATGTGAAGGACCTCTTTAAGGAGAACTACAAACCACTGCTCAACAAAATAAAAGAGGACACAAACAAATGGAAAAACATTCCATGCTCATGGATAGGAAGAATCAATATCATGAAAATGGCCATACTGCCCAAAGTAATTTATAGATTCAATGCTATCCCCATCAAGCTGCCATTGACTTTCTTCACAGAATTAGAAAAAACTACTTTAAAGTTCATAAGGAACCAAAAAAGAGCCCATATAGCCAAGACAATCCTAAGCCGAAAGAACAAAGCTGGAGGCATCACACTACCTGACTTCAAACTATACTACAAGGCTACAGTAACCAAAACAGGATGGTACTGGTACCAAAACAGATATATAGACCAACGGAACAGAACAAAGGCCTCAGAAATAATGCCACACATCTACAACCATCTGATCTTTGACAAACCTGACAAAAACAAGCAATGGGGAAAGAATTCCCTACTTAATAAATGGTGTTGGGAAAACTGGCTAGCCATATGCAGAAAACTGAAACTGGGCCCCTTCCTTACACCTTATACAAAAATTAACTGAAGATGGATTAAAGACTTAAATGTAAAACCTAAAACCATAAAAACCCTAGAAGAAAACCTAGGCAATACCATTAAGGACATAGGCATGGGCAAGACTTCATGACTAAAACACCAAAAGCAATGGCAACAAAAGCCAAAATTGACAAATGGATCTGATTAAACTAAAGAGCTTCTGCACAGCAAAAGAAACTATCATCAGAGTGAACAGGTAACCTACAGAATGGGAGAAAATCTTTGTAATCTATCCATCTGACAAAGGGCTAATATCCAGAATCTACAAGGAACTTACACAAATTTACAAGAAAAAAACAAACAACCCCATCAAAAAGTGGGCAAAGGATATAAACAGACACTTCTTAAAAGAAGACATTTACGCGGCCCACAAACATATGAAAAAAAGCTCATCATCACTGGCCATTAGAGAAATGCAAATCAAAAGCACAATGATACACTATCTCACACCAGTTAGAATGGCAATCATTAAAAAGTCAGGAACCAACAGATGCTGGAGAGGATGTGGAGAAATAGGAACACTTTAATCTGTTGGCGGGAGTGTAAATTAGTTCAACCATTGTGGAAGACAGTGTGGTGATTCCTCAAGGATCTAGAACCAGAAATACCATTTGACCCAGCAATCCCATTACTGGGTATATACCCAAAGGATTATAAATCATTCTACTATAAAGACACATGCACATGTATGTTTACTGCAGCACTATTCACAATAGCAAAGACTTGGAACCAACCCAAATGCCCATCAATGATAGACGCATAAAGAAAATGTGGCACATATACACCATGGAATACTATGCAGCCATAAAAAAGGATAAGTTCATGTCCTTTGAAGGGACATGGATGAAGCTGGAAACCATCATTCTCAGCAAACTAACACAGGAACAGAAAACCAAACACTGCATGTTCTCACTTATAAGTGGAAGTTGAACAATGAGAACACATGGACACAGGGACGGGAACATCACACACCGGGGCCTGTTGGGGGGTGGGGGGCTAGGGGAGGGATTGCATTAGGAGAAATACCTAAGGTAGATGATGGGTTGATGAGTGCAGCAGCCACCATGGCATGTGTATACCTATGTAACAAACCTGCACGTTCTGCACATGTATCCCAGAACTTAAAGAATAATAATAATAATAAATAAAAAATTAGCTAGGCATGGTGGCACTTGCCTGTAATCCCAGCTACTCGGGAGGCTGAGTGGGAGAATCACTTGAACCCGGGAAGTGGAGGTTGCAGTGAGCCAAGATCACTTTGCCTGGGTGGCAGAGTGAGACTCCATCTCAAGACAAACACACACACACACACACACACACACACACACACACACACACACACCTGAACTATTATACAAGCTGATTGGCAATGTTTTTGGGAAAACATCTTGATCAAATGAGGGAAATGTGAGTTGTCAGTATCAAAATGGAGTCACCTGGCCAGGCGTGGTGGCTCATGCCTGTAATCCCAACACTTTGGGAGGTCGAGGTGGGTGGATCACAAGGTCAGCAGTTCGAGACCAGCCTGGCCAATATGGTGAAACCCCGTCTCTACGAAAAATACAAAAAAATTAGCCAGGTGTAGTGGCACATGCCTGTAATCCCAGCTACTCAGGAGGCTGAGGCAGGAGAATTGCTTGAATCCGGGAGGTGGAGGTTGCAGTGACCCGAGATCGTGCCACTGCACTCCAGCCTGGGTGACAGAGCGAGACTCGTCTCAAAAAAAAAAAAAAAAAAAAACCTTGACAAATAGAGCTAGGGAAGGCCATGAAGGGAGGATTACTATGCACAAATGCCTGATAAGTACCACAAAAGGCTCTGCAAAAACCACAACCTTACAGAAAAAAATACTTCCATGAGGACATCTGCCCAGCAACTGCCTGCTCGACCTTGGACTGGAGCCACCCTTGTTATTAATCCTTGCAGATAACGATAATTATCTCAAAACAATTATGTAATCCTCCTCATTTTTCCTTTAAAAGCTTCTGCCTTCCTTTACCTCCCTGAATACACACATAGTTTATTATGGCTCACACACTCCGGTTGCAATGCCATTCCTGAATAAATATCACTTTCTTTTTAGATAGTCGCTGTCTGTTATTTAGGTTGACATAAGCATGACAACTAAGAAATCATAAAGAAAAGGAGTGGTAGAATTGACTATATAAAAATGTAAAACTTCTGTAATTAAAAAAACAAAATCAAAAGTTGAAAGAAAATTGTAACATGTATGACAGGAGGCTATATTAGTTTCCTAGTAAAAATTACCAGAAACTAGGTGGATTTAAGCAACAGAAATTTATCCCCTCACAGTCCTGGAGGCTAAAGGTTTGAAATCAAGGTGTCTACAGAGCCACGTTCTCTTGAAGGCTCCAGGGAAGAATCTGTTTCATGCCTTTTTCTTAGCTCCTGATGTCGCCAGCAGTCCTCGGTGTTCCTTGGCTTGCAGCTGCATAACTTCGGTTTCTGCTTCCACTGTCACATGGCGTTCTTCCCCTGTGTCTTCACATGTTCTTCTCATAAGGACAGTAGTCATGTTGTATTAAGGGTTCACTCTACTCGGCACAACCTCATCTTCACTGATTATATCTGCCAATGACCCTATTTCTAAATAAGGTCACAATCTGAGGTAGTGGGGGGTTAGAACTTCAGCACAGCTTTTTAGGAGATACAGTTCCACCTATACCAATCTTTAATATATAAGTAGATTTAACAAATGAATAAGAAATGTTGGCCGGGTGCGGTGGCTCATGCCTGTAATCCCAGCACTTTGGGAGGCCGAGGCGGGTGGATCACTTGAGGTCAGGAGTTTGAGACCAGCCTGACCAACATGGTAAAACCCCGTGTCTACTAAAAATACAAAATTAGCTGGGCATGGTGGCACATGCCTGTAATCCCAGCTGCTTGGGAGTCTGAGGCAGGAGAATCGCTTGAGCCAGGTAGGTGGAGGTTGCAGTGAGCTGAGATTGCACCATTGCACTCCAGCCTGGGCAACAAGAGTGAAACTCCCTCTCAAAAAAAAAAAAAAAAAAAAAAAAAAGGAAAAAAAAAAAGAAACATTATAATACCGCAACAGAAAAATGGGCAAAGGACAAGCATAGGGAATTTGCACACATACCCTATGTGTTTCCAATAAACATAAGCAAGATGTCTGGCTGTACTATATGTGAGCACACTCCTTTATCTCCAACCTCACTAGCTGCTCTTCCTCCCTTGGGCTATGCACTATGGTGTTCCCTTGGGCTAGGTTCTGGATGTTCTTCCTCTTGTCACCTCAACCTAGATGATTTTATCCAGGTCAATGACTTCACTATAACCTATGCGCTAACAAGACTAAATTTGTATCTCTAGTCAGGACTTTTCTTCAGAGCTCTAAACTCAGTACAAATGTTATACTTGGCATCTCCAGTTGGCTATTCCACAGGCATCGTTAAGTTTTATACCTTCAAAACAGAACTCTTGAATCTTTCCTCTAACCCTGTTCCTCCCAAGTCTGCTTCATTTCAATGCATGACACCAACATGCATTCAGTTGCTCAAGCCAGAACTCAGGGCATCCTTCTTCATTCCTTCCTTTCCCTTGTTATCCACATCCAAGTTATCAGGACCTGTTGATTTTATTTACTAAATATCTACATCCCTCCACTCTCCCAGTCTGTACCACCACTCCAGTCCAAGCTACAGTTATTTCTGACCTGGACTACTACAGCCAACCTTCTAACTGATCTCCCTAATTTCACTCTTCCCCTCTTACAGTAGGGTGACTACACTTCTGCTTTGTTTGGGACAGTTCCAGTTTTCACCTGTTGCTTGACATCCTGGTCCAGTTAGCATCCCTTTTCATTTGCAAAAGTTTCCCAATTGGATGATAAATTATATGGTCTCCCTACCTTACCATCTTTTCTTTTCACAGTAGCTAAAGTCATCTCTAAAAAATGTAAATCAAGGCTAGGTGCAGTGGCTCACGCCTGTAATCCCAGCACTTTGGGAGGCCGAGGCGGGAGGATCATGAGGTCAGGAGATCTAGACCATCCTGGCCAACATGGTGAAACCCCGTCTCTACTAAAATACAAAAAATTAGTCAAGCGTGGTGGTGCGCTTGTAGTCCCGGCTACTCGGGAGGCTGAGTTGGGGGAAATTGCTTGAACCTGGGAAGTGGAGGTTGCAGTGAGCCGAGATCGCACCACTGCACTACAGCCTGAGCAATGCAACAGAGCAAGACTCCATCTCCAAAAAAAAAAAAAAAAGGTAAATCAAATCATGTCACTGTCCTGCTTAAACCTTCAAAGATTTCTTACTGTATTACAATAAAATCCAAATCCCTTATTGTGGTCTCCAAAGCCCTATAACCTAACCTACCTACTTCTCATCTCTTCTGACTCTGTCCATCAGTCGTTACACTGCAGCCTCACTGGCTTTCCATTCTTCCAGTAAGTCATGCTCATTCCTGCCTCCAAACTTTTGGTTTTGTTGTTCCCTTTGACAATGCCTTATTCATCTAGATCTTATAACTAATTTGTTGTCATTTTAGTCTCAGGTCAAATATTAACTCTTCAGAGAGGCCTTCTCTGAAAACACAATCAAATGTTCCCAATCCCACCAAAGTTACTATTATACTGTTCTCTTATTTGTTAGTTTGTTTACTGCCTATCTTTCCACAGCAGAATGTAGTTCCATTATCATCTTGTTCACCTCTGGTCCCCAGGGTTACAGCATATGCTCAATAAATATTTATTGAATAAATGAATCATAATAAAAAAATAATGACATCTTATGGAATCTGGCTATCAAACAGCAAAGATTAAAAGAACAAAAATACCGTATTTTTTCCCCTAACACTCTGTATTATCACCTGACATTACATTTATAGTGCTGTTTACTATCTGTGTCCCCTCAGTAAAATGAAATCTCCATGACGGCAGGGACTTGGTTTTCATAGATGTATTCCCAGCACCTCTAAGAGTGCCTGGTATATAATAAGTGTTCAATAAATATTTATGGAATAATGTAACAATACCTAGGGGTGACTAGGCAGCAGAGAAAGGGATATGATTGGCCATATACCACTGGTAAGAATATTAATGCACAATTTCTGTAGGAAATTTGGCAATACAGTTGATTCGTGAACAACACAGGTTTGAACTGCATGGGTCCACTTACAAGAGAGTTTTTTTCAATAAATATATTGGAAAATTTTTTGGCGATTTATAACAATCTGAAAAACTCACAGATGAACTCCACAGCCTACAAAAATTGAAAAAAACTAAGAAAAAGATATGTCCTGAATGCATAAAATATATGTAGATACTAGCCTATTTTATCCATTTACTACCATAAAATCAACACAAATCTATTATACAAAGTTAAACTTTATCAAAATTTATGCACACAATCACTTACTGACCATAGATGGTGACATCTGCAGTTGACAGAAATGTAAAGATGCAATATTAACTCACAACTGCATATTTTTAAATTCATTATTTTTTTCTTTTTAATTTGTATCACAACTGCATAAAATTTACCATAGACTACACTGTACTACTGTGATAATAATGTCCTACTACCACAGACATCTGCTGCTGCTGTGGTGGGCTCAAGTGTTGTGAGGATCCACTTAAAACGCCATGTCACACTAATCAATTTCTGCACTACTTCCCAGTAAACTGTGTATCATGGTAACAAGTGTTCTCTCCTGGGTTTTTTTCCACATATACTTGTTTAATCATGTGTAGGGTAATATCGTAAACCTTGAATAACACCATGAAACCCATACAAAGTGCTACTAGTGATGCTGGATGTACTCTCAAGAAACAGAGAAAAGTCATGACATAAGAAAAGCTGAATCGCTTGAGATGTACCGTAGATAGAGGTCTGCAGCTGTGGTTGTCCCCTATTTCAGACAGATGATTTATCTTGTAAACAGACGATGTAAACCTATGGTATTGACAAATGCAGTATAGTACTGTAAATGTATTTTATCTTCCTTATGATCTTAACATTTTTCTCTTGCTTACTTTATCGTAAGAGTCCATATAACATACAAAACATGAGTTAACTGCTTATGTTACTGGTAAGGCTTCCAGTCAACAGTAGGCCACTGGTAGTTAAGTTTTCGAGGAGTCAAATGTCACATGTAAATTTTCAACTGCACGGGGGGGTTAGCAACCCTAATCCCCGTGTTATTCAAGGATTAGCTACATATAAAGTAGGGCACACCTTTTGACTCAGCAATCTAACTTCTAAGAGGAACTTAATAAACAAATGAACAAGAGTACAAAGATTATGAGGGAATTTTTCACTGGGTTCTTAGAGAAAATTTAGAAACGAAGGCATAATATCCATTAAGAGGAGGTCATAAAAACATGTATGGGGAGGACACATAGGTATGTATGTATGCACATGTGTGTATGCAAGTAAACATTTACATAGACATACATCAAAATGTTAACATTGGTTATCTTTGGATAGTGAGATTACGGGCAATTTTAATTTTCTTCTTTATACATTTATAAAAATTGTATAATTAGATCAACAAAATTAACCATCTGAAAATGTTCTGTTTTTATAAGTAAAAAAACGAAAAACAAAAAATCCCAAACGAAAAAGCCATGATAAACACAGAAACACACCTCATCGACTCAGTGAAGACTAAAGCCCAGGTTAAGAATCAAGAGTTCAGAAATGTCAACTTCAGCATTAGACATGGCTTTCTCAAGTTCAAGCAAGTTACTTCCCCTTAGTCAATATTTATTAAAAAAAAAAAAAAAAGCAAGATGTAAAAGTTGCTTCTTTTATTTCATTGCCTGTGAAGCTCAAGAGGGACAGGACTGGGCTTAGAAACAACACAAAAAGTGGCAAAAGCTATCATTTATATGAGATCCTTTCCTTGCAATTGTCTCATTAAAAATTTAAAACCATCCTGCTAGGTAGGCATTAATGTTCTCAGGCTCAAAAGCTGAGAGTTGACAGAACTTTCCAAAACTCAAATAGTTGCTATGCTGGAGATATTGATTCAGAAGTCTCTCTGACCTCAGAGCCTTCGGGAAAAGCTACAGAGAAAAGGGCACTTTTAGACTTTATAACCTTGCAAGTCTCTCAATGCCTCTGATCTTTTACATGGTTATCATACCACTCTTATCTAACTTGCAAAAAAGATAAAACGAGAATAAGCTTGGAGCTTTTAGAGAGCTGGAATAAATATCTGGAGAAGCACGATTTAAATTGGGTACTGCTCTCTGGAACTTGCCCCTCATTTCGATTCAACTCAAAGGCTCAAGATCAAAATGCTTGCTTGAGTGGTCACAAGTGAGGGAAACAGTGAGAGACTACGCCCATGTACGTATGTGAAAGACCACAAAAGACTGAGATAAGCATGGCATCTGACCACTGAAGAAGGAAGCTGGACGAGAATGAGGGAAAATGGACAACACTTGGGAGGAAAGGAAGCAAGTGGGAAGGACAAAGTTAAACAGGTAGTGAGAGAAGAGGCTATAGGAATGAGGAGGAACTAGGAGGAAAGAAGTATTTTTTCCCTTCCACCTTTTTTCTCTCTCTACTCTTTTCCTTCATGATCTCAGTCACTATTAGGCCTTCAATACTCCTTTCTGTTTGCATGATTGCCAAATATCTCCATTCTTGCCTTTTCTCCAACTACTGAGCTGGCCACATCCATCTACATTTCCTATTAACACTGTAAATCCAACAGGTCCAACCTGAATTCAGCATCTCCTTCATCTCAAGCCTGCTGCTACTTTTATATGCACTTCTCTTATACTTATCAAACATCCATCTAAACCATTCTCTCTCCCCATATTCTTTCAATCGTTCCTTCATCCAACAAATATTTATTGTGCATCTATTATGTCCGATACATTCAGCCACAGCCCTAGATATATCCATTCACTCATGAAGTCGGGTCATTTCTATCTTGGAAATCTCTTCTCTCACTACCTCATGAGCTGCCTAACTCAACTAAATTTGTCTCTAAGACGTCCTGAGAAACCCTCTTGCTTGAAAAATAATATATATTAACTAGTTTTGCATGCTATTCATTCTATAGTGATCATCTAGCACTTGGCACTGTACCTCGGGCACAGAAGGGGTTCCCAATGGAGGTTTAGGGACTGTAAACCAGCTAGAAAGGGAACAGGGGCAGCAGAAGCTAGGAAACGTCTTGAACGAGTATTTGCATAGGAAGCATGGTAAACTGTATGATCTATACACATAACATCAGCTTGATAATCCTTGTGTTTCCGGGGGATGGCTCTGGGAGGCTGGGGAGATCGTTGGAAGCCTTCTGAGAGAAAGCTCCACCTCCCACCGCTTGAGTAGGTCCTCAACAACCACCTGATGATGTATCACCTTCTGAGGGGACCATGGATATTGTGTTCGCCGTTGTATCCCCGGCCCCTACAACATCTGGCCCATAGTAGGGATTCAATAAACATCGATGCAGGATTCTCGAAAGGCAGATAATTCACCACCTCATGAACGACAAAGACGAAGGGGTTCTGAGGGAAACAGAAATAGCGCGCGAGGTTTCCTTCCCTATTCCTTCAGGGCTTGGTACAGGGTAAGTGCTGAGGAAATAAATCGCCCTCCTGTACAACTCCAAAATCGGGCCCCTCGCTCTGCAGTCAGGCCCTGGAGCGCGGCCACCATCTGGCCCAGGCCCGCGCTTCCCTCCCTCCCAGCCTGGGCTCCTGTTACCTCCCTGCACACATCTGTGTCCACCACAGGCCGAAGAATTACGCGCTCCCGCTTTCCTGCATCGGCCCGGCCAGTACACCCGAGCCCCCACGTCCCGCCGAGGCTCCGAGGACGCCCGCGGCCCCGGCCTGAGACCCCAGCCCCTGCAGCAGGCGCGCCAGGAGCTCGTCCATGTGCTCGGCCGCTTTCCAGCCGCAGTCCTCTCGGGCTTCAGCGCTGAGCCTGGGAGGCCCGGCCTCCCCGGTCCCTGCCCTGGCCCCTGCCCCGGCCCGCCGCGCTCCCCGGGGCCCGAGAGGCCCGGAAGGAGGCAAGGCGGGAAGTGGCTGCAGCTGTGAGGCGCCAGGGGCGGGAAGCGGGCGGCGGGCCCAGCCGAGGGTCGCGAAGACGCGCGCCCCCAAACGAGGCGACGCTCACTCACCACGGTCCGGCGGGGCAGCGCGCCGGAGGTTCGCGACAGGGCCCGGCGCAGCCTCCGCGACCGGCCCGGGCGGGCGCCCCCGGAGCTCTCAGAGCCGCTGTCGTCCGAGATCACGATGTAATCCTCCATGGCTGCGGGCCCCGACCGAAGACCCAGGCAGTGGCGGCGGCGGCGACGACTTCGGTTCCTGCTTCTGAGGTGGCGGCGGCGGGGGCGGCGGCAGCGGCGGCGGCTACAACCCGGGCCACCGCCCCGCCGGCCCCGCCCCGAGCCCCGCCCCGCCGGGCCGCCAAGCCCCGCCCACCGGCGGCGGGCGGCTGAGGTCAGGGCCAGGGTCGCTGTGCTTCGTGGCGGCGCGGGTCCTCCGTTTCCCAGGAGGAAGAAAAAAAGAAAAATGGAGTCGCAGCCGGCTTCGGCAGGTGTTGGGGCCAGGCGTGCGAGACGCCGAGGCCGCGGGGACTTCCCCACCTGCTTCCAACCGACGAAAGCGTGAAGTGAGGCGCGCCCAGTCCCACCCTGCCCAGGTGTGAAGCGCCTCCCGGACTGAGAGGGCCTTGACTGAGGGGCAGGGAGAGAGGTCCTGGCCCCTGAGTGACCGAGGATAGGTGACCTGGCTTCTGGCCGAGCTAAGGGAGAGAGAGAGACCCCACTTTTTGGTGCACACGCCCATGTGTATCTGTAGGATAAATGCCTAAAAGCGGACTTATTGGGGCAAAGGCCATGTTTTTGTAGTTTTGATAAATGATGCCAAATTACCCTCCTAAATTGTACCAGTTTTGCGATTTCACCAACAATATGTGTCTCTCAGGAGTTTAAACTGAGATTTAGAGCAGGGGTGTCCAATCTTTTGGCTTCCCCAGGAAGAAGAATTGTGTTGGGCCATACATAAAATACACTAATGATAGCTGATGACCTAAAGGAAAAGAGTTGCGAAAAAAAAAAACTCTTAATGTTAAACAGGGAGTTAAACAAGTTTGACGTAGACAGTTGTTCAGTTGGTATCAGGATCAGAAGCTGAAAAGGTGCACAAAAGAAGCCATGAAGTAGCAGAGGCCATGAATAATTAGATGTTGTGAATAAGCAGAAGTTATAAAGGTGAAAAAGGTTGTCCCCAGTAGAGGAATCGGTGGGTAGTTGGCTGGTTGGTTGGTTGTAGGGCAGGACCATTAAAATCAAGATAGGACCTATTGGTACACTAAATGTGGGGTATTGACAAAATCCTGCTGCTCAGGCTCCAGAAGTTTTGCAAAATATGTTAACAGATCCAAAGAATAATGTGTTTAATAGGAGGGGAATTTGTTCCTAAAGGAATGGTTATCAGGTGCTCTCCAAGCACTGTCTAATGCAGTGTTTTTCACACTTTGGTGAGCATCAGAATCCCCTAGAGTGTTTGTTAAGACAGACTGCGGCCGGGTGCGGCGGCTCACGCCTGTAATCTCAGCACTCTGGGAGGCCGAGGCGGGTGGATCACTTGAGGTCAGGAGTTCGAGACCAGCCTGGCCCACCTCGTCTCTACTAAAAATACAAAAATTAGCTGGGCATGGTGGCAGGCGCCTGTAATCCCAGCTATTTGGGAAGCTGAGGCAGGAGAATTGCTTGAACCCGGGAGGCGGAGGTTGCAGTGAGCCGAGATCGTGCCATTGCACTCCAGCCTGGGGGACAGAGCAAGGCTCCATCTCAAAAAAACAAAAACAAAAAACCCAACAAAACACAGATTGCTGGGTTGCTGGTATGGTTTGGATCTGTGTCCCCACCCAAGTCTCCTGTTGAATTGTAATCCCCAATATTAGAGGTGGGGACTGGTGGGAGGTGATTGGATCATGGGGGTGGTTTCTTATGAATGGTTTAGTACCATCCCTTTGGTACTGTCCTTGTGATAGCGAGTTCTCTTGAGATCTGGTTGTTTAAAAGTGTGTGGCACCTCCCACCTCGCCCCTTTCCCCATGTGATGTCCACTCCCCTTTCGCCTTCCGTCTTGATAGTAAGGTTCCTGAGACCTCCCCAGAAGCAGATGCTCCTATGCTTCCTGTACTGCTTGCTGAACCGTGAGCCAATTAAACCCCTTTTCTTTATAAATTACTCAGTCTCAGGCATTTCTTTATAGCAATTCGAGAATGAACTAACAATCACACATCAGATTTTCTGATTGAGAAAAAGAATTTTGGGGGTGGGCCCCTGAAATTTGCATTTCTAACAAGTGCCCAGGTGATGTGGATGCTGCTAGTCTGGGGACCACACTGTGAGAACTACTGGTCTGGTGGACGGGGAGTTTATGCCCAGCAGATTTCAGACATTCTGGTCCAATGGGTGAAGTCACCCTTGTGAAAGGATTCATTAAGTTGTCTTCATCTAAAGCTATTAAACATTTAGGGTTGTGATCTCTCACACCTGTAATCCCAGCACTTTGGGAGGCCGAGTTGGGAGAATAGCTTGAGGCCAGGAGTTTGAGACTAGCCTGGGCAATATAGCAAGACCCTGTCTCTACAAAAATAAAAACAAATTAGCCAGGTGTGGTAGTGCATGCCTGTGGTCCTAGCTACTCAGGCAGCTGAGGTAGGAGGATCCCTTGAGCCCAGGAGTTGGAGGCTGCAGTGAGCTATGATACTGCCCCTGCACTCCAGTTGGGGCAATAGGGTGCGACCCTGTCTCAATAAAACAAAATGAAACAAAATACACAACCATTTGGTGTGTCTGACTACCTGCTTGCTGGAACACTGTCTTCTGTAGGTTTCTGTGATGCTGTGCTTCTCTCACCACTTTTTTTTTAGTCTCCTTAGCTGACTCCTCTACTCACTCCTTAAACTCTTGATGTCCCTTAGAGTCCTGACATCGGCCACCTTTACACACGGGACCTCTTCCCTCTACAATCTCAACTATTCCCTGGCTTCAGTGATTGGTTTTATGCCAATGGCTGCCACGAGTTTATCTCAGCCCAGTCCTGTCCTTAAAACTCCAGTTGTATACATCCAAACATGTGCTGAATCTCGTAGGCCTCTCAGGTTGAGTATGTCTAAAGCCAAACTCACCTTTATGCTCCCCACACCCACAAAAAAGCCTGCTCTCTTTATGTGTCTTATGGTGATGGCTCCACCAGCCAGCAATTGCTGAAGTGAAAAACCTGAGTATTGCACTTGGTGTCTCCCCTTTCCTCAACAAGTCCTGTCTGTTTTACCTCCTAAACATCTCCTGCATCCCTCTACTTCTTTTGGCCTCTGCTGCTGATTCTGGCCAAGCTCTGGCCTACTCTACTGTGGCAAGACATAAGAGTGTTCAGATTGTATCTTTCTCATCAGCCATCCTGCCTGAAATACAGGAAACTCAGGACCCCTGGTCGTATAATATGAGAACAGCTTAAAAGTACCCTGCCCTTACTTGGCAACCCAGGTGGGATGAATACTGGCTGTGAAGTTGCCCTCCTTAAAACTATAAGTAATGTCACTTATGTTTCCTTGGCCATCCTGGATTTGTCTTGAAGTGTGCCGTTTACCCAAGACTTCCAAAGTGATTGTATGTTTTTCAGAAATTTGTGTATTTTTTTTAAGGTGACACTTTTTCATAGACTCACTCCCCCCAAACCATACATTAGTCTCATGTAAATTGAGAGGCTAATGTAGTATTTTATGCATCCAGTGAATACTGTATTTGGTGAGTACCTGCTAGATGCTAGGCTTATGTTAGGGGTCGGGGATAAAGCAGTGAGCAGGACAGCTATTACCTCTGTTCTCAAAGAGCTTAGCAGTTAAGGAGGTATCACTAGTTGGTTAATGAAGAAAAAATGGTTTCTTTTAAAATAATTTTTAATGAAAAATTCATACATGAGAAAATGTGTGAAGATGCAAATCAAAACCACATTGAGATCCTACTTTATACCCATTTAGGATGGCTATTTTTTTAAAAAACAGAAAACAAATTTGGGAAGGATATGGAGAAACTGGAACCACTGTGCGTTGCTGGTAGGAATGTAAAATGGAGAAGCAGCTGTGAAAAATAGTTTGGCAGTTTCTCAAAAAGTTAGATGTAGAATTACCGTATGATTCAACAATTCTACTCCTAGATATTTGCCCAGAAAAACTGAAAACGGGACTCAAACAGGTACTCGTCTGCAAATCTTCACAGCAGCATTATTTCTAATAGCCAAAAGGTAGAAACAGGTCTTCCTCAGCAGATGAATGGATTAAAAAAAAGTGGTATATACATATAATAGAATAATATATTCAGCCATGAAAAGGAATTAAATTCTGATAACATGTCACATGGATGAACCTTGAGAATATTATGCTAAGTGAAATAAGCCAGATACAAAAGGACAAATATACAATTCCATGTTTATGAAGTACCTAGAATAGGCAAATTCACAGAGACAGATAATGGAATAATGGTTTTTCAGGGGTTGGGGAAGGGGAGAATGGGGAGTTATTGTTTAATGTGTATTGAGTTTCAGCTTGGGATGACAAAGAGTTCTGGAAATGGATGGTGGTGATGGTTGCACAACTTTGTGAATGAACTAATGCCGCCAAATTGTATATTTAAAATGGTTATAATGGTAAATTTTGTGTTACGTCTATTTTACCAAAATAGAACACACTATGTGCATGGTTTTCTTTTATAAAATTTAAAAGCATTACAGACAAGGCTAAAGGCCCCTTTTGCCACCTCCCCCATCCAGATTCGCAATTCCCCCTTTTCAGTGCTGTTATGTTTATTCCTCTAGAGCTGCTTCTGTGTATTTACCTGAATTCATGTGTACTTACTAAAATTAAATACATTTTTAGCTTTATCGAATAACATATCTGCTCTGGTATAGAGTTGTTTATTTTTGAGACGAAGTCTCACTCTATCACCCAGGCTGCAGTGCAGTGGCACGATCTTGGCTCACCACAACCTCCGCCTCCTGGGTTCAAGCGATTCTCCTGCCTCAGCCTCCCGAGTAGCTGGGAGTAGCTGGGCATGCACGCCACCATGCCCGGCTAATTTTTGTATTTTTTTTTTTCAGTAGAGACGGGGTTTCACTGTGTTGACCAGTCTGGTCTTGAACTCCTGACCTCGTGATCCGCCTGCCTTGGCCTCCCAAAGTGCTGGGATTACAGGTGTGAGCCACCGCACGCAGCCTGCTATTGAGATTTGAAACCATCATTTGTGGTAAAAACATTCTAAATACAAAGCTTCCTGCCTTATTAATGGGGATTTTTTTTTTTTTGGTGGTTATTCATCTTTAAAATATTTTTTCTTTTTTCTATTTTTCATTACATGGCAGGGTCAGTGCCTGCAGACCCGCTTTTGTTTATGCTAAAGCCAGCTAGCTCAAGTTTCTCCCTGCTCTAGGGAACATTCTGTCCCTTCTGTGGGATTCCAGGTCTAATCTTCCAGTTTCAGGGCACTCTTAGCTTTTCCACTGGATTGCTTCAGCAGGCGGCCTCTCAGTTTACATAACTTTATTTAAATCATTTTCTTATACTTTCTCCCTGCTTCCTTCCCATCTTCAAATTTGCTGTGATATCAAGGCCTTTGTAAAAATTTTGTTTCATTCCCTATGTTTGAAGAATCCTCATTTGAGAAAGTTAAAGCAATTGAGAAAGGTTACGAAGCAGAATGTGTAACTCCATCATATTTTGATAACATCTTTCCAGATATCTCTAAATGGCCGATACTCACATGTGCAAAATTTTTACATAAATGGGATCAGACTATGCATATTGCATCACAGTTGGTTTTCTTAAATTAATATGTCCTTATGGTTTTCTGTGTCAGTGAACATGGATCTATAGTATCCATATTGTCTATTGGCTCATATTTTAAAATAGCGTATTTGCTTTTATATAGAAAACCACAAAGAAGCAAGCAAAAAAATATACCACGTTCTCCCATTCTTGGTATCCCTCATTGAACAGTTTGTAAAACTAAAAGAAACATCTTGTGAGTTCAGTAAATTCTTGCTACCAAAACTTACAAAATGAAAAGTGAAAGTTGAAAGCCACCCTCTCTTTCCTAGTTCTTCCTCCTAACACTAAATACCTTTATTAGTTTCTTGTAAATCCTTCAAAACATACTTACTTACTACACATACTTATCTGTTCTAACACACCATAAAAATCACACTGTACAGTTATTTACTTTGCCTTTTGTAATTTATCATGGGCATTATTTCCTAACTGCAGGGTAAACATATCTGTCACTTTTTAACAGCTTACATTAAAAAGTCATTTGTTAGGCTGTGCCATAATTTATTTAATTGGTTTTCTATCATGGATATTTTGGTTGTTTCTAGGGTTTTTGTGTATTTTTGTTATTACTATTACCAATTATGTTACAACAACATCTTTGAGCTTCTAAGAAGTCTTGCCAGCATATCTGCAGGGAAATTCTTTTTTTTTTTTTTGAGACGGAGTCTCATTCTGTCGCCCAGGCTGGAGTGCAGTGGCACCATCTTGGCTCATTGCAAGCTCTGCCTCCCGAGCTCACACCATTCTCCTGCCTCAGCCTCCCGAGTAGCTGGGATTACAGGCGCCCGCCACCACGCCCGGCTAATTTTTTTTGGTATTTTTAGTAGAGACAGGCTTTCATCCTGTTAGCCAGGATGGTCTCGATCTCCTGACCTCGTGATCTGCCTGCCTTGGCCTCCCGAAGTGCTGGGATTACAGGCGTAAGCCACTGCACCTGACCCGGGAAATTCTTAAGCATGGGGGACTGGGTTAGAAGATGTGTGTTTTACATATTGATAGAAATTCCCAAATTGTCATCCAGAAAGGTTGCACCAAATAACGTATCAACAAAAGCACTTGGGAGTGCTTATTTCCCCAAATTCTTCAAGCACTGGTTATCAGACTTTTTAGTTGTTGCCAATCCAATAATTTAAGGTTGGTATCTTGTCCTGATTGCCTTTACTTCATTATGAGTGAAGTTATGACACTTTTAAAGTGCTCATTGGCTATTTGTAGCTTTTTCTTTAAACTGTGTTCATATACGTTGACTTTTTTCTCCTATGCTGTTCATCTTTTTCAGTAACAGTGAAATCTATATGAATAGCTAACATTTACAAAGTATTACATTGCTTGCATATTCAACAAGACACCAAATAATGAACATTTAGGATGTTTACAGTATTATCTTGCTACTTTAAACATTCTTGCACATACATCTTTGTACTTTGGACCAGATATCTATCTGTTTAAGTTAAATTTCTAGAAGTGGAATTGCTGATTTAAAGTTGAATTATTTGTCCAAATGTTCCAAAGAGCATTGTGTGATAGGGGAATGGTCCAAGTGAAGAAGTAGGAAAGAAAGGAACTAAACAGTTACTCCCAATTGCAAGGCCAGTCAGCTCTAAATTAGAGTTTAGTTAGCAGGCTAATTGATGATATCATCCTACCTGCTTTCATCAATAAGCTTTGTAAAATCCTAACTCTCTTTCTCTATTTGAGTGCCCAGACCTCCTGGGAGTCTGCAAATTCTAGGGTTAAAAAAAAAAAAAGAAAAAGTAATTTTGTAATTTTCAGGTGAGCAATAGTATTAAAAATTATAAGCACATTCTGAATCATTTTATGACCGTACAACTCCAACATTGGCTTTATATTTCTGTTTATAGTTGCCTGCATTGGTGCATAATGTTTTTGTCTTTTTTTTTTGAGACGGATCTTGCTCTGTCCCCCAGGCTGGAGTGCAGTGGCACCATCTCGGCTCACTGCAAGCTCCGCCTCCCCGGTTCACGCCATTCTCCTGTCTCAGCCTCCCAAGTAGCTGGGACTGCAGGTGCTCGCCACCACGCCTGGCTAATTTTTTGTATTTTTAGCAGAGACAGGGTTTTACCGTGTTAGCCAGGATGGTCTCGATCTCCTGACCTCGTGATCCGCCTGCCTTGGCCTCCCAAAGTGCTGGGATTACAGGCGTTAGCCACCGCGCCTGGCCAGGTGCATAATGTTTTAAGGCACTATGGTAGTTCATGAATTTTAACTAAGTGGAGGGAGGTAGTGGGAGAATTGAGCCAGTTTACTCATGGGGCATGTGGACTCCGGGGCAAGCAGAGCTCAAAAGAACCTGGGCAAAAGCAATCCTTTAAGTTAGAAGAATGTAGGAAATGATTTGAGGGAGGATGAGTTGAGCAAATCCTGTCTTTGTACAACTTGTTCATTAGCAGCAAGTGTAGTAGGAAACAATGACATTGTTTTACATTTCTGATTTGAGTAATAATTAGATTAGGACACCAATTCAAGCCAAATTGCATTAATGACCACAATGTCCACCTTAGTTTTACAGGAGTTATTGGGTAACTGCATAAAACCAGGCATTCCAGGATTGTTTGGAGGTGGTTTTGACCAAGTATGAGGTCTACCTTGAGGTAGCAAAGAACTGAAGTTATTAACACCATTTTGTACAGAATAATTATCTGAACATTTTCTGCATTCATGTTATTGACAAAATCAATAGACAAAAGTTGGTGTGCTCTCATGTTTTGTTCTAATATGCATTTAATTAATAATGATATATAAAATGCTATTTTTTCTTTGTTCCAATGTTACTTTCTTGTGAAAAAAGACATCCAAGACAAAAATCTACTACTCACATTAAGTTGTCCTTTGTCCTAGTTACCATTACATATTCAGTTTTACATATTTTAACAATATTGTGGTTAGACTTTGGATTTATACATTTCACTTAGCATACTGTGAATATTTTCCAATTTTGCAAATCTGTTTGTTATCTCCCTTTATGCTCTTCTTATACATTCTTTGTTGACCACCAGCATGACCACCATCACCAGGCAAATGTTGTTTGCCCAGGTATGTAAGCCTGTACATATTTCTCCATAATCATGTAAGCCTCTCCAAAGATATACAGACACATGTACACCACATAGAAATATATAAAATATATGTTAGAGATTGTGAATTTGTCATTTGCTTTTACTAAAGTGAGATCATAAACTATATTTCTTAACCACTTTTTTTTTGCTTAATTCATCCGGACAGCCACCAGATCAATACACTACAGATCCTACTTGTTTTA
The DNA here is from genome assembly GCF_000001405.40 of Homo sapiens. Classification (NCBI taxonomy): domain Eukaryota; kingdom Metazoa; phylum Chordata; class Mammalia; order Primates; family Hominidae; genus Homo; species Homo sapiens. The sequence goes on from NC_000005.10 coordinate 177,681,021, forward strand.
AATAGTGACATAGTTATTCCTACTGTAGAGGTACATGTTTATTTACTTTTTCCCCATTGATGGTCATTCAAGCTGTTTTCATGTTTTTTGTCATTACAATGTCACAGTAAGTCTCAGATTCGACCTTACATTGTTAGGACTAGGATCACTAGATCAAAGGGTATGTATATTTTTGGTTTTAGTGTATAAGGCCATGTTACTTACTTTAAAAGGTTGTAGGTCATATCACCCAGTATCAATGTGTGGACCTTATTTGGATCTCAGTTCAAACAAAATAGAAAAAGCATGACATTTACAAGACAGTTGGAAATTTGAACACAGGGTCAGGTGTGGTGGCTCATGCCTGTAATCCCAGGTCCTGGGGAGGCTGAGGTAGGAAGATCACTCGAGCCCAGGAGATCGAGGCTGCAGTGAGCTATGATCGTGCTACTGCGCTCCAGCCTGGGCAGGGAGCAAGACCCCGTCTCTTAAAAAAAAATTTGAACACTGCGTAGATGTTTCACTAAATTAAGGACTTTTTGGTTTTCTATTTTTAGATGTAATAATGGTCAAGAGACATTCTGAAATATTTATGGATAAAATAATTTGCTTCAGAAAGGTATCGGGGAGAGACAAGTGGATGGAAACAGGGATAAAATGAATGGCCTTGAATTGACAATTGTTGGAGCTGGTATAATGAGAGTCCATTATACCACTGTCTTCCTTTTAGATATGTTAGAAATTCTCCACAATAATAATTTTATAAAGCTGTAATAATTCACCCTATATTATCAATGTATGAGAAAAATGATTACCTTACATTTCCCTTGGTAATGGGTGTTACTACTTTTATTTTTGTCAATCTGATGTGTGCAAAGAGGTATTTGCTGCTGTAATTTGTATTTACCTTACTGCTAGTGAGATTGATTATCTTGAGAAAGTGTAACACTTCCTTTTTGGCAGCTAGCAGTCAGGTTATGGTGTTCCCAAACAAACATAAAGAATACTTTCTAGAATATAAATGGGATATAGACAAGGCTACTGCATGACCATGTCTGGAACAAAATAGAGAAAAGCCATTTTGCAACCATGGAAACAATAAAACATTCTCCATTTCTGACTGGAGTGACTGCTGCTCATTTACCAATGACGACTGTAGTCTTACCTTAGTCCTACTTCCTAGATAAGAATTAAGATAAGCCACTGCATTGCCCTAACTTATTAACAACCCTCAACTCACAGCTAATCCTCACTTCTCCAGCTTTTCTTGAAATAATCTAGTACAAGCCCAAATCCTATGAGAAGCCCCTTTCAATTCCTTGTTGAGACCTCTACAGTTCCTTTGGAGTGCTTTCCCCGCTCCTGCAGCAAGGTAAATAAACCAAACTATTTTCTACTATAGAAATGTTCCTGATGGCCTTCAGTCAGTGGGCTTTAAAACAATCTTTTTAAAGTTTGTCAATTTGGATTTCTTCTTCTTTGGAACATTTTCCCAATTCAGTGGGTAGTTTTGAAATTTTTCCTTTTGTCTGAGAGTCAGTTTCATTTTTACCTACCCTACTCTTTAAAAATATTTTTCTGGCCAGGCGTGGTAGCTGTAATCCCAGCAGTTAGGGAGGCCGAGGTGGGTGGATCACCTGAGGTTAGGAGTTCAAGACTAGCCTGGCTAACGTGGTGAAACCTCGTCTCTACTAAAAATACAAAAATACAAAAATTAGCTGGGCGTGGTGGCGGGTGCCTGTAATCCCAGCTACTTGGGAGGCTGAGGCAGGAGAATCGCTTAAACCTGGGAAGTGGAGGTTGCAGTGAGCCAAGATTGCACCACTGCACTCCAGCCTGGGTGACAAGAGCCAGATTCCGTCTCAGAAAAAAAAAAAAGTTTTTGTGGGTACATAGGTGCATATATTTATGGGTTGCATCAGACTCTTTGATACAGGCATGCAATGTGTAACAATCACATCAGGGTAAATGGGGGTAAACCTCAAGCATTTATCCTTTGTGTTACAAACTCTCCAATTATACTCTTATGTAAAAATGTACAATTAAATGATTTTTGGCTATAGTCCCCCCGTTATGCTAGCAAATACTAGGTCTTATTCATTCTAACTACTCTTTTTGTACCTGTTAATCATCCCCACTTCCTCCCAACCCCTGTTCTTTTCTAGGATCCATGTGTACTACCTAGAAGAAGTAAAAGATAAGGATTCCCATTCAGGTTAGATCACTCCAGGTTTGATGACGTTAGCAAGTATTTTCAGGGTTTTGTGAGTTCTCCAGTAAGGCTACTGGGGGTTGAGGCTGCAGTGTTGCTAAGTTGGACCTCCTTTTGCTCTAGACTCTCTTCTTAACTACCGATCTAGTTTGGCGATGCTGATAATGTGCGTGTTCAACGTGTGTGTGTGTGCGCTCACACGCGTGTGTGTGTGAGTGCATTTACCACTTATTGCTCATTTGGTAAGGTATTGAGGGAGAAAATTGCTAATACAATTTCATTTCATCATCTTATCAGAAGTCTGATATTTCTATTTTATTTTGATTTATATATTTACAAGCGCTTATGTGAGATATATAAAAATTCAAGTTAATTGTTATTTTACTGGTATGAAATATCACCATTTGTCCCTTTTAGTGCCTTTCATCTTGAGTCGTTGGTTACATAATATTATAACATACATAACAATTCTTTGATGTGCTGGGAAAATATTGATATTTAAGCCCACCTGTTTTTATCCAGTATGTAACTCTTTCACCATTCAGATAACTAGACGGAGTCATCCTTTGCCTTAAAGAAGATTGTCACAGTGGAACCAGAATACAAAAAGATACATTCTTGGCTTGTGAATGTCAAAGCTGGGGCTCAGGTATAAGATATTCGGAGCCAGTTTCTTCCCCCTCAGAGTGAGTCATGTTGCTTGCTCTATTAGTTCTATTTCCTTAGATGTGACTTCTCTCCTTCGTGGGGGGTGGTGTTTCTCATTTTTAGTGTTAGAGTTTTCCTCAAATATTTTGTCATTCTTGGTTGGGTGTTTGTCTTAATTTTTGAAGTTCCCTGTTAGCTCACATGTGAGTGCTGGATTTTTTCATAGCACCTTGTTGCCAGTAATTTCAGGAAAGAATTTGGACTTGCAATGGGATAGGGTTTGTTAGCATCCAGTCTTCTGGGACAGGCATGTGTGTGTGTTGGGGGAAACCACATAGTTACCATGGGCACTGCAACGCCCTGCCTCTCTGGCTCAGATGCTCACACTCGCACTTACTGCTCTTAAGCTTCTGCTGCCAGTTGCTTTGCAAACGCTGGAGAAGGTTACTCTTAGGTGCCCAGGGCTCACTCGTGTTTCCTCATATCTGCTGCTCCTGAGGTTGGAGATCCATCAAGTTGATCTTACCTTTTGTTGCGATTTTCTCCTCTGGATGTTTTAGATTATGATTTTCTCCTTCAATCTGACACCATTTGCTCTCCATTTTTCTGGGATTTCCTTCTAATTCCTGCAGACTAATGATTACCAACATATCAGGCCTCAACACTATTCTAATCAATTTTCTCTCCTTCACACACTTCCTGAGAGAGTCATCTACATTAGCAGGCTCCATTTTCTAGCCTCATATTCACTTCTCAACCCACCCCAATCTAGCTCCCACTCCTCATTAGTCAGCAGAGATAGTGCTCACTCAGGTCCCCTGACCTCTGTGGTGGTTTTAAAACATGTCCACAAATTCCTTAGAAGTCCCTCCTTCAAAAGGCAGGTCTAATTTCCCTCCCTTTAAGTGTAGGTTGTACTTGGTTGACTTGCGTATGATAAATAGAATGTGTCAGAAGTGATGGTGGGTGATTTCCAAGTCTGGGTTGAAAAAGGCAATGTGACTTCAACGTTTCTCTCCTGCATAGATTGCCTACTCTGGGAGAGCCAGGTGTGAGTGGGCCTTGGTGGATGAGGATCCTCCAGGTCTACTGGCCTTTTAGATGGCTGCAGCCTCATGAGACACTGGGCCCAAATCACTCAGCTGAGCAGCTCCTGGATCCTTCAGTTTCAGAAACTGCATGAGTATCTTAATCTGTTCATGCTTCTGTGACAGAATACCTAAGACTGGGTCATTTATAAAGAACAGAAATTCATTTCCTCACTGTTTCTGGAGGCTGGGAAGTCCAAGATCAAGGTGCCAGCACGGGTACGTGGTGAGGGCCTTCTTGCTGCATCCTCTGGGAGAGAGGAATACTGTGTCCTCACATGGTTGAAGAGGAGAAGAGAGAGCTAAGCAAATGCTGCAAGAAGCCTCCTTTAGAACGGCCTCAATCCCATTAATGAGAGAGGAAACTTCATGGCCTAATCATCTCGTAAACACCCCACCCCTTCATACTGTCACATTGGCAACACCTGAATTTTGGAGGGGATGCATTCAAACCACAGCAATCAGTTAATATATATTTGTTGTTGTAAGGTGCTGAAGTTTAGGGTAATTTGTTACACAGCAATAGATAAGGAATACAACCTACACATTGTTATATCTAAAGGATGCCGTGACTTCTGGGCAGCATTTGACACTGTTGACCTCTCCCTCTCTGAAACACTCTTCCTTTTAATTCCACCACACTACATTCTTCTACCTCCCCAATCCTTCCTTCTCATTCCTTTGCCAGTTCTTTCTCCTCTGCAGTCATTTCAGTGATGAGCTCTTTAAAGTCTTCTTCTCTTTTCAATCTAATCTTTCTCAGAGTTCTCACTCAGCCTCTCAGTAAATATGCAGTTGACAGTTTCTTCATCCAACCCAGACGTCTTCCCAGAACAAGTCACCTGCATTTGAAACTGTTCGCTCAGCATTATCCTTCATCACCCCCAAAGCACCTCAGTCTCTACTCAGAAAACAAATTATCTTTCCCTCAAAACTTGGTTCTCTTTCTGTGTTTTCTATTTCAGTGAATAACACTACCACCATCTATCCAGTTGCTTATAGCCCGCCATGCTCCTCTCTCTCCTTAACCACGTATCTAATCCATTTCCAAGCCTGCTTAACTCCTGCATCATCTCTTAAATCTCCTCTGCTATCCAAGCCATGATTCTTTGTCACCAGGACTCTTATTGTAGCCTTCAAACCTATTGCCTTACATCTACCCTAGGCCCGTCTCCTGTCCATTGTCCATACTATTGCTTGAGGGATATTTTCAAAACACAAATCTGATCATGTTTCTTTTCTTTTTTAAATGTCTTTTTGTTCTGCTTTAATGCATTTAAAGGCTTTAATCATCTCCTATCAGTCTTTGACTAAAACCCCCAAATCCTTAAGATGACCTGCCAGTCTCTGTCTTCTTATCACAGCCTACATCTCTAGTCTCATTGTGCCACACTCCCCACTTGCTCCCTGAAATTCAGCCATAGTGACCCTTCTAACATGGTATGTTCCCCCTTGACCCAGGCAGGGCCTTTATGGGAGCCTCTATGAAATGCTTAGTCCCTGGCAGATCTCAGCACAGCATCCCTAGGTCATGGAAAACTCTCCAAACCTCCAATCTATGTCAAGAACATATCTTACAACTTTCTGGAGAATTGGGGCCCTTTTCTCTAGGTCATAGCCTAAGTTAATAATTGGGCCTAGAGGTGGTACCTTTGATTAACATTTGCCCCCCCTCTTCAACTGTGAGTGCCGCGAGAGCGTGGAGAATGCCCGACTGTGAACACTGTTGCAGCTCAGTGCCCGGCACAGGGTCCAATAACCTCGTAGACATTTGATGAATATTTGGGACTGACTGTTCCTTGAAAATTCAAAAGGACTTGCACATAAAAATCTTTGGTCTGGTGCCTTTTTATGGAATGTTTCTTTCAGTACTTGTTTTTCAAAGTTTTTTTTTTTTAACTTCTGATTTTATGGTTCTTCTTGAACCAATTTTGGTAATTCATATTTTCTCAAAACATGTCTGATTCAAGACTTACACATTCATCAGGAAAGAATTGTACAAACTATCTTATTATAATGGGGGAAATCACATTTGTGGTTTAATCTCTTCTTGTTTTTTATATGGTATATTTATCCCCCAACCCCCTTTAGGCTAGTGTGAGCTTGTCTATGTCATTGCTTTGATATTTTTCCTTTAAGAACCAGATTCTGTCTTTGTAATTTACGTTAGAAAGTTATGTAATTTTTATAGCCTTTCTTAAAACAGCTTTGTTGAGGCAGTTTACATACCACAATATTTACACATGTTAAGTGTTATAATTTAATGATTTTTAGTATATTTATAGGGTTGTGTAACCACCATCACAATCAAGTTTTAGAATATTTTGATCACCCCCCAAAAATCCCCTGCTTTTGTTTATTTGTAACCAATCCCTATTCCTACCCATAGGCTCAGGCAACTGCTAATCTGCTTTCTGTCTCTAGGTTTAATGCTTCGTCTGGACATTTCATATACATGAAATCGTATAATATCTGATCTTTTGCATTGGGCTTCTTTCATTCAATGTAGTGGTTTTGAGGTCATCCATGTTGTAGCATGTATCAATATATCATTTCTTTTTTTGTTGTTGTTGAGACAGAGTCTCGCTCTGTTGCCCAGGCTGGAGTGCAGTGGAGTGATCTCAGCTCACTGCAAGCTCCGCCTCCCAGGTTCACACCATTCTCCTGCCTCAGCCTCCCGAGTAGCTGGGACTACAGGGCCCACCACCACACCTGGCTAATTTTTTTTGTATTTTTGGTAGAGACAGGGTTTCACCATGTTAGCCAGGATGGTCTTGATCTCCTGACCTTGTGATCCACCCGTCTCGGCCTCCCAAAGTGCTGGGATTACAGGTGTGAGCCACTGCGCCAGGCCCTTCTATTTCTTAATAGTATTCTATTGTATAGATAGACTGCATTTCACTTGTCTGTTTACCAGTAGATTAACATTTGGTTCTTTCCACTTTTTGGCTGTATGAATAATGCTGCTGTGAACATCCCTGTGCAAGTCCATGTGGACATACAATTTCATTTCTCTTTATTACCTAGGAATGGAATGGCTGGGTAATATGGTAAATTTGTGATTAACCTTTTAAAAAGCCACCAGACTGTTATTTCACATTCCCATTGAGAGGTGACAGCGTGCTGGCAGTCCTCACAGCCCTCACTCGCTCTCGGCGCCTCCTCTGCCTGGGCTCCCACTTTGGCGGCACTTGAGGAGCCCTTCAGCCCACCGCTGCACTGTGGGAGCCCCTTTCTAGGCTGGCCAAGGCCGGAGCCCACTCCCTCAGCTTGCAGGGAGGTGTGGAGGGAGAGGCGCGAGCAGGAACCGGGGCTGCGTGCGGTGCTTGCGGGCCAGCTGGAGTTCCGGGTAGGCGTGGGCTTGGCGTGCCCCGCACTTGGAGCAGCCGGCCGGCCCTGCCGGCCCCGGGCAATGAGGGACTTAGCACCCGGGCCAGCGGCTGCGGAGGGTGTACTGGGTCCCCCAGCAGTGCCAGCCCACCGGCGCTGCGCTCGATTTCTCGCCGGGCCTTAGCTGCCTTCCCGCGGGGCAGGCCTCGGGACTGCAGCCTGCCATGCCTGAGCCTTCCCCCGCCTCCGTGGGCTCCTGTGCAGCCCGAGCCTCCCCGACGAGCACTGCCCCCTGCTCCACAGCGCCCAGTCCCATCGATCACCGAAGGGCTGAGGAGTGCGAGCGCATGGCGTGGGACTGGCAGGCAGCTCCACCTGCAGCCCCAGTGCGGGATCCACTGGGTGAAGCCAGCTGGGCTCTTGAGTCTGGTGGGGACATGGAGAACCTTTATGTCTAGCTCAGGGATTGTAAATACACTAGTCGGCACTCTGTATCTAGCTACTCTGGTGGGGCCTTGGAGCACCCTGTGTCTAGCTCAGGGATTGTAAATACACCAATCGGCACTCTGTATCTAGCTCAAGGTTTGTAAACACACCAGTCACCACCCTGTGTCTAGCTCAGGGTTTATGAGTGCACCAATCGACACTCTGTATCTAGCTGCTCTGGTGGGGTCTTGGAGAACATTTATGTCTAGCTAAAGGATTGTAAATACACCAATTGGCACTCTGTATCTAGCTCAAGGTTTGTAAACACACCAATCAGCACCCTGTGTTTAGCTCAGGGTTTGTGAGTGCACCAATCGACACTCTGTATCTAGCTGCTCTGGTGGGGCCTTGGAGAACCTTTGTGTGGATACTCTGTATCTAACTAATCTGATGGAAACGTGGAGAACCTTTGTGTCTAGCTCGGGGATTGTAAATGCACCAATCAGCGCCCTGTCAAAACAGACCACTGGGCTCTACCAATCAGCAGGACGTGGGTGGGGCCAGATAAGAGAATAAAAGCAGGCTGCCCCAGCCAGCAGTGGCAACCCGCTCGGGTCCCCTTACACATTGTGGAAGCTTTGTTCTTTCACTCTTTGCTTTAAATCTTGCTGCTGCTCACTCACTCTTTGGGTCCACACTGCTTTTATGAGCTGTAACACTCACTGCAAAAGTCTGCAGCTTCACTCTTGAAGCCAGTGAGACCAGGAGCCCACCAGGGAGAAAGAGCAACTCCAGATGCGCTGCCTTAAGAGCTGTAACACTCACCGCAATGGTCTGCAGCTTCACTCCTGAGCCAGCGAGACCCCGAACCCACCAGAAGGAAGAAACTCCGAACACATCCAAATATCAGAAGGAACAAACTCCAGACGCGCCACCTTAAGAGCTGTAACATTCACCGCGAGGGTCCGCGGCTTCATTCTTGAAGTCAGTGAGACCAAGAACGCACCAATTCTGGACACACCATCAGCAGTGTTGAGGTATGATTTACCTACCACAACCTCACCAATACTTGTCACTTTTTCTGTGAAAGGTCAGATAGTAAATATTTTAGAATTTGCAGACCACTGTGGTCTCTGTAGCAGCTACTCAATTCTGCCATGATAGTGTAAAAGCAGGCATAGACCATACATTATAAATAAATGGGAGGGCTGTATTGCAATAAAACTTTATTATACAGAAACAGGTGGTTCTGTAATTTACCAACGTCTTACCTAATTATAGCTATTCTAGTGGTAGCTCATTATGGCTTTAATTTGCATTTCTCTAATGACTAATGATGTCAAGCATCTACTCGTGTGCTCGTTAACAGTTTATATATCTTCCTCGGTGAAATGTTCAAATATTTTACCCATATTTTAATTGAATTGTTTGTGTACTTATTGCGTTATGAGAGGCCTTTATATATTCTAGATACAAGTCCTTGATCAGGTATATGATTTGCAAATATTTTTTCTAGTCTGTGATTTTTCTTTTTATTTTCTAAGTGATGTCTTCTTAAGAGCAAACATTTTTTAAATGTTTCTGCAGTTTAATTTATCAGATTTTTCTTTATGCATTAGGCTTTTGAAGGACTCTGTCTAATCTGTCATGGGTGAGCAGTAACTATCTGGGGCTGGTGGTTTGGTGGTAAAAAGAGTTTACCAAGACAGTTGCAGGTAAAGAAAGGCAGATGTATCAGAGAAAGTAGGAAGATACATTGCAAGGAAGCAACAGGCAAGTTTGCAAGAGAGAAGCTAACTACAAGGAGACAAAGACTTGCTGGGGATTTTACAGGGTGATGCTTGTGCTGTGTGCTGAAGGGGTCTTTGTGCAGTATTGATAACACCGAGGTTCCAGTGAGCTAACCTGCAGTTTTCTGTCAGCCGAGGGTCTGTTGATAGGTGCAGGAAGACTGTGAGTTATTTGCCCAAGAGGGCTACGTGTCCTGCACCATGAAGAAAGGCAAACTTACAGCTTATCTGCCTTCTCTTTTTGCTTTCCCTTAGTCCCACCAGCCTGACTCCTTTTCCCTAATTAAGACTCTACATTTTCTTGCTGACAGAGCAATAGTGACAAATCTTTGTCATGTGGGTGAAGGTCTCATCTTCCAACTGCTTCCTGCTGACCAGGGGCATAGAGGTGGCCCTACCTAGGATTACTGGCCTGTTAGGAGGTTATATGGGCCTAAACCCCGGAGTTGGGACTTGAATTGGGCGGGGTGACTGTGGGACTATGGGGGAACAGCATTTATTTAGCAGCCTAAAATTTTGTCCTGCTGTGTTTAAAGGAGAGTTAATGGAGTACCCTTAATGGCTGATACCATTGCTGCAGTAACATTTTGGTTTGAAATTGTTGTATTCTAGAAGACACAAAATGAGACATTGCATTAACAATGAATGGTACAAATGAACTGCTATGAGCATTATTACAGGTGGGAGAAGTGGGGTCTGACAGATAAAGATTTCTAAATATTAATGGGATAAGGGAAAATTGAGAAAAAGATGTAGATGTATTAGTGAGGATGAGGAGTTGTCTAGTCTTGACCCCTATTCCTATATATTCCATCCCCATTGCTGAATTGTTTATAGGCATAAAGTCATCATCATCAATCTTGCAGGCATTAACTTTGTTGTTTCCCCGCAATAGAGAAAGCCTGTGGGCGTCCACAGTGAGCTGATCAGAGTCGTCATATGGCACCTGTTCCTGGTGTACCTGATTATAGTTGAGGGCAGAATTGCAATGCACTTGTGTTAAAGCCCCTAGGAAAGGGCCGAACCCCTTGGAGTTTCTAATGCAGAGGTTTGCCTTACAGGCCATCTCTGGTGCCTTCCCGATCCACTTTGTCATGGTGGATGATTGCCATGAGGCATCCATTGGCCTAGGTCCCCCTCTTAAACCTGCGTTTTTGGTGTGTGTGTAAGTGGTGTAGTCGAATCCAGACTATTGGGCTTGTATGTTAACAATTTCTTCTATAGATAGTGCAACAGCTAGGAAGGAGTGTAATGTCATCCTCAAGTGCCTGCTTGTGTGGGCATATTCAGCAGTCAGTATTGTGTGTTACGTTAGCAACTTGAGATATTACTGGGTAGAGTGGGTGCTTGGGTGCAGCCATTTGAGGCAGTAGCTAGCTATGATAGAGTAAAAACAGAATCATATTTAAGGAAAATGACAATATATGGTAAACTTAGGAAGGCAGGAAAGAAGATGGGCTGTAAAGAGTATGAGAAAAACAGTTAAATACTAGTACTTCAGCACATTGAAGTTGTGGTGTGGGGGTAAATAACATCACTAGGACAAATATAAAGAAGTTTCATCTGGGTGATAGTTTTGGAGGTTCCTCTGCAAATAGCAATCGTGTACTATCTCCCTTATAAAAGCATTAATATCAAGAGGGTGAAGCTGCTTAACAGGCAGTTGGAGAATTACTGAGATCCTGTGGTAGAACTGAATGCAAAGAGTTCGCTTTAAGAAGAAGATTTAGCCCAGCACGGTGGCTCATGCCTGTAATTCCAGCACTTTGGGAGGCTGACGCTGATGGAGCACTTGCAGCCAGGAGTTCGAGACCAGCCTGGCCAACATGGTGAAATCCCGTCTCTACTAAAAATACAAAAATTAGCTGGGCTTGGTGGCACATGCCTGTAATCACAGCTACTCAGGAGGCTGAGGCAGGAGAATCGCTTGAACCCAGGAGGTGGAGGTTGCAGTGAGCTGAGATGGTGCCACTGCACTCCAGCCTGGGTGACAGAGAGAGACTCTGTCTCAAAACAAGACAAAACAGATTTAAAAGAGGTGCTGGATTTATTTCCATCAACTTTAAGGGAGGTTAAAAAATTCTAGGTTGTTTGGTTTAACAAAACTTCTTTAACCTTTTTTTTTCTTAACTTTAAAAGAGTTTCCAGTGTTTACATTCTAGTTAGACCATAAATAATGAGTCTTATTTCAGCAGCAGCAGCTTAGTAACAGCAGTTCTAAAGCAGGAAGAAAAAGAGAGAGGAAAATCGAGAGCTTTAGAAGACTGTTTAACTCTGTAGTGCAAGTTAAATATTTGAGCTCTGAATTTTTTTTTTGTAATTTGCCCATTAGTTTAAAATGTGCACAAAAACAGCATAATATGTAAGCAGCTGGAGTTTTAAAGAGAACAATAAAATCAGGCTAGGATATTACAAACTGTTTTTTCCCATTTAAGGTTAGACTCCTGGATTGAACAGAAAAAGAGAAAAAGAAAAGAAAGGAATAGAGGAAAAGGTTAAGCTTTACAGGATGGCTTTTGAGCCTGCAGCCACTGGACAGCGCAGGGCAGCATCCCTACCCCTCTCGCTCATTTCCTATCAGGGAGAGCCTTAGCACCCCAGACCTACACAGTATGGGATGAATTCCTCCTACCTCCACAAGCCACCAGTTAAAGTGAGCTGTCTCCAGCGGGAGCAGAGAGCCCCTTCAGCTTAAGGCCATCAGGGGTCAGGATTCTGTTCCAGGGGCCCTTCGGTCCTCAGTGCAGTCCCTTTTCTAGCGGCCGAGCTCATGGGTTGGGGTAAGCCATGTGGGTTTTTTTCCCATTTATCCCATTAGGGCAGTTTGCCTGTTAGTGGCCTAGCCTTTTGTACCAATGACGGTTATTTGGAGGAGTGTTCTTAGGGAAACCTGGAGGGGGCTGAGGGCTTGTAAAGCAGCCAAGAGCTGAGCCTGCCTTTTGTCCCTGTGGTTTTCTTTCTTTTTAGCCCTGTCCTCCTTATTCTGCTTTTGGCTATGAAAGACTGAGGAGGCTAATTTGAGGATTTTCTGCACAGGGGCCATGCTGTATTACACAAGAAAATTAGACGTTTCTTCTTGAGAGTCTAAAGGTTAAATTTCTCCAGTGTTTTAGAATGCAGCCTAGAGGTGAGGCTAAAGGAATAGATGGGGTTTATCCCATGATGGGACTGGAAAACATGCTGCTTGGGTCTATTTGAACTGTGCATTCTCTCTGGATATCCTGCCAAGATGAAAAGGGCTCCACTTATGTCTGCTGAGGGACTCAGGGTACACTTTCTAAAGGGGCCTCCCACCGTTAGAAAAGACCTCTTGGCTGCTCAGGGGCTTTACAATCGGTGGCCAGTCCAGGTACTGACGCTGGGTGATCAGCCCAGGTATGAGGAAAAAGGGTAAAGGAAGAACTCAGCCTGGTGCCAGTCAGAAGAGCGGGCGGATAAGGGAAGACTCATTGTTCTGAGGCTGTCTGGATCACCTGATTTAGCAAAGTCCTGAACAAGATGGATAATTCAGAGTGAGAAAGAGAGGGTACGAGTCTTCTGCTGTCAGTTGTGTCACACATAGGGTTTAGGGACTTTTGACCAGAAAAGATAGGAGAGAGCTTTCCTTCCTGTTGGGCAGGGCACTCAGCCCTATTCACCCTTTGGCCTTCAGACAACACCAGAGAGTGGCCCTGGCCAGTTGCCATCAATTGTTGGATACTAGAAGCCAGCTGCTGGGAGACTGAAAAGTGAAAGTAAATTTAGGTCCTTCACCTGAACCTGGTGGTGGGTCAAACGCTTCCACATGGACACCTGTCAGTCCCACTGGAGTGTAGGTCTGGCCAGAGACCTTTAGTTGTCTCTGTGCTCAGATGTTGGCCACCAAGGATCACAAGTTGGGAAAGAGAATGGAGAGGATTCCCTGTAAGGAGAGAGAGTCCTTATATGGGCCACCAAAATGTCATGGGTGAGTGGTGACTATCTGGGGCTGGTGGCGTGATGGTTCAAAGAATTTACCAAGACAGTTGTAGGTTAAGAAAGGCTGATTTATTAGAGAAAGTAGGAAAATATGTTGCAAGGAAGCAATGGGCAAGTTAGCAAGTGTGGAGGTAACTGCAAGGAAACAAAGGCCTGCTGGGGATTTTATAGGATGGCGCTTGTGCTGTGTACTGAAGAGGGCTTTGTGTATACTGATAACACCAACGTTGCAGTGAACTAAATTGCATTTTTCTATCAGCTGAGGGTCTGGTGATAGCTGGGTGCAGGAAGATTGTGAGTTATTTGCTCAGGAGGGCTGTGTGTCCTGGACCATGAAGAAAGGAAAACTTATAGCTTATCTGCTTTTTCTTGTTGCTTTCCCTCAATCCCACCAGCCTGATTCCTTTTCCCTAATTAGGACTCCACATAATCCAGGGTCACAGGATTATTTTCTTCTAAACATTTTGTAATTTTAGGTTTTTTATTTTTTTGGAATGGAGTCTCACTTGGTTGCCCAGGCTGGAGTACAGTGGCATGAGCTCAGCTAACTGCAATCTCCACCTCCCGGGTTCAAGCAATTCTTATGCCTCAGCCTCCCAAGTACCTGGGACTATAGGCGCATGCCACCATGCCTGGCTAATTTTTGTATTTTTAGTAGAGATGGGGTTTTACCACATTGGCCAGGCTGGTCTTGAAGTCCTGACCTTGTGATCTGCCCACCTCAGCCTCCCAAAGTGCTGGGATTACAGGCGTGAGCCACTGCACCCTGCCTGTAATTTTAGTTCTTATATGTAGATCTGTGACTCTTTTTAAGCTATTTTTTTATTTATTGATCATTCTTGGGTGTTTCTCGGAGAGGCGGATGTGGCAGGATCATAGGATAATAGTGGAGAGAAGGTCAGCAGATAAACACGTGAACAAAGGTCTCTGGTTTTCCTAGGCAGAGGTCCCTGTGGCCTTCCGCAGTGTTTGTGTCCCTGGGTCCTTGAGATTAGGGAGTGGTGATGACACTTAACGAGCATGCTGCCTTCAGGCATCTGTTTAACAAAGCACATCTTGCACCGCCCTTAATCCATTTAACCCTGAGTTGACACAGCACATGTTTCAGAGAGCATGGGGTTCAGGGTAAGGTTATAGATTAACAGCATCCCAAGGCAGAAGAATTTTTCTTAGTACAGAACAAAATGGAGTCTCCTATGTCTACTTCTTTCTACACAGACACAGTAACAATCTGATCTCTTTCTTTTCCCCACATTTCCCCCTTTCTTTTAGACAAAACCACCATCATCATCATGGCCTGTTCTTGATGGTCGCTGTCTCTTCGGGGCTGTTGGGTACACCTCCCAGATGGGGCGGCCGGGCAGAGGCACTCCTCACTCCTAGATGGGGAGGCCGGGCAGAGGCACTCCTCACTTCCCAGATGATGGGCGGCCGGGCAGAGGCACTCCTCACTTCCCAGACAGGGTGGCCGGGCAGGGGCACTCCCCACTTCCCAGACGGGGTGGCGGCTGGGCAGAGGCACTCCCCACTTCCCAGACGGGGTGGCGGCTGGGCAGAGGCACTCCTCACTTCCTAGATGGGGCGGCCGGGCAGAGGCGCTCCTCACTTCCCAGATGATGGGCGGCCGGGCAGAGGCGCTCCTCACTTCCCAGACGGGGTGGCGGCTGGGCAGAGGCGCTCCTCACTTCCCAGACGGGGTGGCGGCTGGGCAGAGGCACTCCTCACTTCCTAGATGGGGCGGCCGGGCAGAGGCGCTCCTCACTTCCCAGATGATGGGTGGCCGGGCAGAGGCGCTCCTCACTTCCCAGACGGGGTGGCCAGGCAGGGGCACTCCCCACTTCCCAGACGGGGTGGCGGCCGGGCAGAGGCGCTCCTCACTTCCCAGATGGGCGGCCGGGCAGAGGCGCTCCTCAATTCCCAGGTGGGGCGGCTGGGCAGAGACGCTCCTCACTTCCCAGACGGGGCAGCCGGGCAGAGGTGCTCCTCACATCTCAGTTTTTGAGCTGTTTTTAATGACTAGTGTGAAGTACCTAAATTTATCTTTTTGCATGTGAATATTGTCCCACACCGTTTGTTGAAAATAATATTCTTTCCAGTTTGAATTTTTCTGGCAGCTTTGTTGAAAATCAGTTGGCCATAAATGTTGAGTTTATTTTTGAGCTCTCAATTCTGTTTAATTGATCTATATGTCAATCCCTATGCCAGTACACTCTCCTGATTTTTTTTTTTCTTTTTCTAGATAGTCTTGCTCTGTTGCCTAGGCTGGAGTACTGTGGTGTGATCATAGCTCACTACAGCCTTGAAGTCCTGGGCTCAAGTGATCCTCCCACCTCAACCTCCCAAGTAGCTGATACTATAAGCATGAGCCATCGTGCCCAGCCTGTCCTTATTTTTGTAGATTTATAATATGTTTTGAAATTAGGAACTGTAAGTCCTCCAACTTTGTTCTTTTTCAAAATTGTTTTGGCTATTCTAGGTTATTTGTATTTTCATATCAATTTTAGGATCAGCTTGTTAATTCCTGCAAAAAAGGCAGGTGGAATTTTGAAAGGATTGCATTGAAGCTATAGATCAATTTGGGGAGAATTGTCATCTTAACAAGATTGAGTTTTCCAATCCATAAATATGGATGTCCCCTCATTTATTTAAATCTTCTTTAATTTCTCTCAGCACCAGTTTTAGTGTATAAAAGTTTTATTGTATCAAAGAAGTGCATTTTTTGTAAAATTTATCCCTAAGCATTTTATTGTATTGATACTATTATGAATGGAATTATTTTTTAAATTTCATTTTTGAATTGTTCATTGCTGGTATATAGAAAAATAATCGATTTTTGTGTATTGATCTTATGTTTTGTGACCTTGCTGGAATTACGTATATCCTACTGTTTGTTTAGCTGGGTGGTTTTGCTGTCAGTGCTGGTGTTCCTAGTTCACTCAGAAGCCCCTTTGCTCTGATCCCGACAATTTCCAGTGCCATTTCTACTGTCAGTAATGAACCCACAATTGTCTGCAGACTGCACAGCCTCATCTGCAGCTGAGGCAGAGTCAGCCCTTTCTCCTTGTCCTGCTTTTCAGCAGGGTTGGAAATGCACAGTCTGGGATGCTTCTTACTGGGGATAGCCTGAGGTGCTGGAGGAGTCAGTGGTTGTCATTGGGCAGCAACCACTCTGGCTCTCTTCTGTACTTCAGCAGTCCTAGGATCTGGGTCCCCTGGTACCTGGGGGTTCTTAGATCTTGTTCCAAATCCCTACTCCAGCTCTCTGAGGATTGGGGGACTCTGCCTGGCACTGTAAATTTATAGAATGTACCTTCTTTTGACAAGATCTGTTTCTCTGGGGGAAGATCAGGGCTGGACACTTTTCCTACCTTGTTCCTGACTATTTTCTGACAGATTTCCTTAGTGTTCTATTCTGCAGCCAGTTCCCCCTGCCCCCGTCTTAGGACCTGAGTCCTTACTGTCCCCCATCTAAGTTGATACCAGCCTGTGGTTGTTGCTCCTCTTCTTTTCTGGGAGCTCCTGTGTTTTGGTCACTGGTAGCTGTGGCTGACATTTGGGCAGCTTTTTGTTTGGGAAGTTAGCAATTGTGTTCCTGAGGTAAGTAAGGCGGATGGGCAACTGTGGGCTCTCCCCAGGGCTGGGTATTAGCATTGCAAATATGGCTCTTTAGTTCTAGTTAGTAAGGTGATGCCCAGGAAGGGAAGGAATTGTGCCAACCAAGGAAAGGTTCTCATTTGTACTTTCCCATCCAGCAGGAGGTTTTCAAAACATAGCATCTGTCTTAAAAGGCTCTTGTGTGCTCTAATCATCATCATTACTTTTATAATCATGATGTGAATTTTTTAGTCACAAACTCAGGTGTGCAAACAGTATAGTTTTCTTCATTCTTAATACCTCATTAATTTCTGACTCTGCATTCTTGTTCTGCATAATGGCAGACAATGCCTGCCCTGTCCAGCTGAACCCATTCCTTTTGGGTGGCTTCACTGACAAACTTGGACACGGTCACTTCTCCAGATTCAGTGATGGCCTTTACTGGAGCCTGCTTCAGACTTGCTTATTGCCCTCTAAAAGAGTTTTGAAAATCTATATACCTCCTTTGTTGACATTTAAAGCTTTTTTTTATCGTAAGTTTAAATAGTTAAATACTAAGTTATTACATATATTGATGTTTAAAAAATAAACTGTCACTATTATCCCATACTTTCTTTTCTATTTATTTTTTTGAGACAGGGTCTTGCTCTGTCACCCAGGCTGGGGTGCAGTGGTGCGATCACGGCTTATTGCAGCCTTGACTTCCTGGGCTCGAGTGATCCTCCTGGCTCAGCATCCTGAGTAGCTGGGACCACAGCATGTGCCACCATGCCTGGCTAATTTTTGTATTTTTGGTAGAGATGGGCTTTCGCCATGTTGCCCAGGCTGGTCTTGAACTCCTGAACTCAAGTGATCTCCTGCCTCAGCTTCCCAAAGTGCTGGGATTACAGGTGTGAGCCACTGTGTGCTGCCACTTTTTAAAATTTAAACAATTTTTTTAGAGGCAGGGTCTCACTATATTCCCTAGGCTGGTCTCGAACTCCTGGGCTCAAGTAATCCTCCTACCTCAGCATCCCAAGTAGCTGGGTCTACAGGTACATGCTTCTGCACCTGGCTTACTATCCCATATTTTAAAATGTATCCAAAGAAATCTAAGTACCATAGCAATTTAAGTTCATTAAAAGTACCTTATATCCAATACTACTACATTACTTAGAGCTAAATTGATAGTTGTAAATGCCTATATTGAAAAGAAGAAAGATCTCAAATCAATAACTTAAACTTCCACTTTAAGAAACTGGAAAAGAAGATCAAACTACACTCAAAGCAAGCAGAAGGAAGGAAATATTAATGTGCAAAGTGGAAATAAATGAAATAGAGGTAGAAAAACAATGGAAAAAAATAAAGGAAACCAGAAGTTGGTTCTTTGAAAATATCAACAAAATTTACTTTTAGCTTTTAGCTAGCTAAAACTTTTAGCTAGGCTAATCAAGCATAGAGGAGAAAAGGTCCAAAATTACTAAAATTAGGAATGAGAGTGTAGATGTTACTACTGACCTTACAAAATAAAAAGAATTATAAGGGAATACTATGGACAACTGTGTCAAATTAGATAACTTAGATGAAATGAACAAGTTTCTAGAAACACACAAACTACTGAAATTGACTCAAGAAGAAGTGGAAAATCTGAAAGATGTATAACAAGAAAAGATATTGAATTAGTAATAAAAAATCCTTCCCCCACAAAAAAGCCCAGGGCCAGATGGCTTGACTGGTGAATTCTACCAAACATGTAAAGAGGAATTAATATTAATTGTTCATAAACTCTTCCATAAGCATAGAAGAGGAGGAAATACTTCCCAACTCCTTCTATGAGGCTAGTATTACCCAGATACCAAAGCCAGAAAAAAAAAAACACAAGAAGGAAAACTACCAACCAATATCTCCTATGAATTTAGATATAAAAATCCTTAACAAAAGCCTAGTGAACTGAATCTAGCAACATATAAAGGGATGATATATCATGACCATATGGGATTTATCCCAGGAATGCATGCAGTTTGTCCATCAGATGAAAATCAATATAATACACCATATTAATAGAATAAAGCACAAAACCCACATAATCATCTCAGTAACTTCAGATAAAGCATTTGATAAAATTCAAAATAAAAACAATGAATAAACTAGGAATAGGAGGGAACCTTCCCAACCCATGAAAGGGTATCTCTGAAAATCCACAGATAATTTCATGCTTTAGGGTAAAAGATTGAGAGCTTTCTCCCTAAAGTCAAGAACAAATACAAGGATGTTCACTCATTATTTCTATTAATATTGTATTGGAATTTCTAACCAGACAGGCTAGAAAAAGTATTAAAAGGCATCCAGATAGGAAAGGTGGAAGTAAAACTATGTTTGCAGATGACATGATCCTGAATATAGAAAATCCTAAGGCATCTACAAAAAAACTATGAGAGCTAATGAAGGAGTTCAGCAAGGTTTCAGGATACAGGACCAAAATACAAAACTCAGTTGTGGCTGGGCGTGGTAGCTCATGCCTGTAATCCCAGCACTTTGGGATGCTGAGGTAGGTGGATCACCTGAGGTAGGAGGTCAAGACCAGCCTGGCCAACATGGTGAAATGCCGTCTCTACTAAAAATATAAACATTAGCTGGGCATGGTGGCAGGCGCCTGTAATCCCAGCTACTCAGGAGGCTGAGGCAGGAGAATCACTTGAACCCAGGAGGCGGAGGTTACAGTGAGCCAAGATCACACCATTGCACTCCAGCCTGGGGCACAGAGCAAGACTCTGTCTCAAAACAAAACACCTCAGTTGCAGGATACAAGACCAATACACAAAAATCAGTTGTATTTCTATACCCTAGTAATGAACACTCAAAAATGAAATTAAGAAAACAATTCTGATAATGATTTGGATCCATGTCCCCACCTGAATCTCAGGTCGAATTATAATCCCCAGTGTTGGAAGTGGGGCCTGATGGGAGGTGAGTGGATCATAGTAGCATTTTCTCATGAATGGTTTAGTACAATCCCCTTGGTGGTGGTCTCGTGATAGTGAGTTCCCTTGAGATCTGTTTGTTTAAAAGTGTATAGTCCCTCCCCTCTCTCTGTCACTCCTGCTCCCACCATGTGAGATGCCTTGCTCTGCCTTTACCTTTTGCCATGATTGGAAGCTTCTCGAGGCCTCCCCAGAAGCAGAAGCCACTATGCTTCCTGTACAGCCTGTAAAATCATGAGTCAATTAAACCTCTTTTCTTTATAAATTACCCAGTCTATGCCAGGCATGGTGGCTCATGCCTGTAACCCCAGCACTTTGGGAGGCTGAGACAGGTGGATCACTTGAGGCTATGAGTAAATGACCAGCCTGGGCAACATAGTGAAACTTCATCTCTACTAACAATACAAAAAATCAACCAGCTGTGGTGGTGCACACCTATAATCCCAGCTACTTGGGTGGCTGAGGCACGAGTATTGCTTGAACCCAGGAGGTGGAGGTTGCAGTGAGCCAAGATCATGCCACTGCACTCCAGCCTGGGTGACAGAGTGAGACTGTCTCAAAAATAAATAGATAAATTTTAAAAAATAAATAAAATTACCTACTCTGAGGTATTTCTTTATAGCAATACAAGAACAGACTAATACAGAAAATTGGTACCAAGGAGTGGGGCATTACTGTAAAGATAGCTGAAAATGTGGAAGCAGCTTTGGAACTGGGTAACAGGCAGAGGTTGCAAGAATGTGGAGGGCTCAGAAAACGACAGGAAGATGAGGGAAAGCTTGGAACTTCTTAGAGACTGGTTGAATGGTTAGATCAAAATGCCAGTAGTGATGTGGACAGTGAAGGCCAGGCTGATGAGGTCTCAAATGCAAATGAGGAACTTGATGGGAACTGGAGCAAAGGTCACTTTTTTTTTTTTTTGAGACAGAGTCTTGCTCTGTGGCCCAGGCGGGAGTGCAGTGGCGCAATCTCGGCTCACTGCAAGCTCCGCCTCCCGGGTTCACGCCATTCTCCTGCCTCAGCCTCCCGAGTAGCTGGGACTACAGGCGCCCGCCATCACGCCCGGCTAATTTTTTTGTATTTTTAGTAGAGACGGGGTTTCACCGTGTTAGCCAGGATGGTCTCGATCTCCTGACCTCGTGATCCACCTGCCTCGGCCTCCCACAGTGCTGGGATTACAAGCGTGAGCCACCGCGCCTGGCCAAAGGTCACTTTTGTTATACCTTAGCAAAGAACCTGGGTGCATAGCTGCGTTGTGCCCCTGCCATAGGGATCTGTGGAACTTTGAACTTGAGAGTGATGATTTAGGCTATCTGGTGGAAGAAATTTCTAAGCAGCACAGCATTCAAGATGTGACCCAGTTGCTTCTAACAACCTACACTCATATGCATGAGCAAAGAAATGACCTAAAGTTGGAACTTATATTTAAAGGGGAAGCAGAGTGTAAAAGTTTGGAAAT
This sequence comes from Homo sapiens, assembly GCF_000001405.40. NCBI lineage: Eukaryota > Metazoa > Chordata > Mammalia > Primates > Hominidae > Homo > Homo sapiens. Next base: position 177,702,464 of record NC_000005.10, read on the forward strand.
TTTGCAGCCTGGAAAGAAAAGGCCATTTTCAGGGGATGAATTCAAGCAGGCTGCAGAAATTTGCATACGTAAAAAGGTGCCAAGTGCTAATAGCCAAGACAATGGGGGAAAAGCATAGAAGACATTTCAGAGACCTTCACCATGGCCCCTCCCATCACAGACTCAGAGGCCTAGAAGGGAAGAATGGTTTTCTGGGCCAGACCTAGGGCTCCTGCTGTCCTGTGCAGCCTCGGGACACTGCTCCCTGCATCTCAGCCTAGCCATGGCTCAAACAGGCCCAGGTACAGCTTAGGCCACTGCTTCAGAGGGTGCAAGCCATAAGCCTTGGTGGCTTCCATGTGGTAATATGCCTGTGAGTTCAGAGTGCAAGAGTTGAGGCTTTGGAGACTCTGCCTGTATTTCAGAGGATGTATAGAAAAGCCTGAATGTCTAAGCAGAAGCCTCACTGCCCTAGTAGAGGTCCTCCATGAAGGCTCTGCCCCATGCAGCAGCATGGAGAACCTCTACCAGGGCAGTGAGGAGGGGAAATGTGGAGTTGGATTTCCCACGCAGAGTCCCCATTGGAACACTTCCTAGTGGAGCTGTGAGAAGAGATCCACCATCTTCCAGACCCCAGAATGGTAGATCCACCAGCAGCTTGCACTCTGTGCCTGGAAAAGCTGCAGGTACTCAAAACCAGCCCTTGAGAGTGGTGTCGGGGGCTGAGCCTTGCAAAGCCACAGGGGCAGAGTTGCCCAAGGCCTTGGGAGTCCACGCCTTCCATCAGTTGCCCTGGATGTGGGACATGGAGTCAAAGGAGATTATTTTGGAGTTTTAGGATTTAATGACTGCCCTGCTGGGTTTCAGACTTGCATGGGGCCTGTAGCCCCTTTGTTTTGGTTGATTTCTCCCTTTTGGAATGGGAATATTTACCTAATTCCTATACCTCAATTGTATCTTGGAAGTAACTAACTTGTTTTTGATTTTACAGACCTATAGGTGGAAGGAACTAGCCTTGTCTCAGATGAGACTTTGGACTTTGGACTTTTGAGTTAATGCTGGAATGAGTTAAGACTTTAGGGGACTGTTGGGAAGGCATGAAATGTGGAAAGGACCTGACATTGGGGACTGTCAAATTGTAATCCTCAATGTTTGAGGTCGGGCATGGTGGGGGGTGATTGGACCATGGAGGCGGTTTCTCTGTTTGAGGTCGGGCATGGTGGGGGGTGATTGGACCCTGGAGGCGGTTTCTCTGTTTGAGGTCGGGCATGGTGGGGGGTGATTGGACCATGGAGGCGGTTTCTCTGTTTGAGGTCGGGCATGGTGGGAGGTGATTGGACCCTGGAGGCGGTTTCTCTGTTTGAGGTCGGGCATGGTGGGGGGTGATTGGACCATGGAGGCGGTTTCTCTGTTTGAGGTCGGGCATGGTGGGAGGTGATTGGACCATGGAGGCGGTTTCTCTGTTTGAGGTCGGGCATGGTGGGAGGTGATTGGACCATGGAGGCGGTTTCTCTGTTTGAGGTCGGGCATGGTGGGGGGTGATTGGACCATGGAGGCGGTTTCTCTGTTTGAGGTCGGGCATGGTGGGGGGTGATTGGACCATGGAGGCGGTTTCTCTGTTTGAGGTCGGGCATGGTGGGGGGTGATTGGACCCTGGAGGCGGTTTCTCTGTTTGAGGTCGGGCATGGTGGGGGGTGATTGGACCCTGGAGGCGGTTTCTCTGTTTGAGGTCGGGCATGGTGGGAGGTGATTGGACCCTGGAGGCGGTTTCTCTGTTTGAGGTAGGGCATGGTGGGAGGTGATTGGACCCTGGAGGCGGTTTCTCTGTTTGAGGTCGGGCATGGTGGGAGGTGATTGGACCATGGAGGCGGTTTCTCTGTTTGAGGTCGGGCATGGTGGGAGGTGATTGGTCCATGGAGGCGGTTTCTCTGTTTGAGGTCGGGCATGGTGGGGGGTGATTGGACCATGGAGGCGGTTTCTCTGTTTGAGGTCGGGCATGGTGGGGGGTGATTGGACCATGGAGGCGGTTTCTCTGTTTGAGGTCGGGCATGGTGGGGGGTGATTGGACCATGGAGGCGGTTTCTCTGTTTGAGGTCGGGCATGGTGGGAGGTGATTGGACCATGGAGGCGGTTTCTCTGTTTGAGGTCGGGCATGGTGGGAGGTGATTGGATCATGGAGGCAGTTTCTCATGAATGGTTTAGCACTATCCCCGTGGTGCTGTTCTCATGATAGTGAGTGAGATCTCATGAGATCGGGTTGTTTAAAAGTATATAGGCCCCAGCCAGGTGCAGCGGCTCATGCCTCTGAGCACTTTGGGAGGCTGAGGCAGGTGGATTTTCTGAGCTCCGGAGTTCGAGACCAGCCTGGGCAACACACTGAAACCCCATCTCTACTAAAATACAAAAAATCAGCTGGACATGGTGGCGCTCACCTGTAGTCACAGCTACTTGGGGAGGCTGAGGCACGAGAGTTGCTTGAACCCGGGAGGTGGAGGGTGCAGTGAGCCAAGATCACACCACCGCACTCCAGCCTGGGTGACAGAGCGAGACTCCATCTCAAAAAAAAAAAAAATTATATAGACTGGGTGCGGTGGCTCACATTTGTAATCCCAGCACTCTGGGAGGCCGAGGTGGGTGGATCACTTGAGGTCTGGAGTTCAAAACCAGCCTGGCCAACATGGTGAAACCCTGTCTCTACTAAAAATACAAAAATTAGCTGAGCATGGTGGCATGTGCTTATAATCTCATCTACTCGGGAGGCTGTGGTGGGAGAATCACTTGAACCTGGCAGGCGGAGGTTGCAGTGAGCCAAGATCATGCCACTATACTCCAGCCAGAGTGACAGAGTGAGACTCCGTCTCAAACAAACAAAAGTATATGGCACCCCCACCCCCACCCCCTCTTCCTTCTGGTTTCACCATGTGAGATACCTCACTTCTCCTTTGCCTTCTGCCATGATTGGAAGCTTCCTGAGGCCTTCCCAGAAGCAGAAGCTGCTATGCTGCTTGTACAGACTGCAGAACCATGAGCCAATTAAACCTCTTGTCTTTATAAATTACTCAGTCTCAGGTATTTATTTATAGTAATGCAAGAATAGATTAACACATTCCATTTACAATAGCATCAAAAATAATAAAATGCTTAGGAATAAATTTAACAAAAGAAGTGTAAAACTTGTGCACTGAAAACTAGAAAACATTTTTCTTTTTCTTTTTCTTTTTTTTTTTTTTTTTTTTGAGATGAAGTCTTGCTTGTCACCCAGGCTGGAGTGCAGTGACATGATCTCGGCTCACTGCAACCTCTGCTTCCTGGGTTCAAGCCATTCTCCTGCCTCAGCCTCCCCAGTAGGTGAGATTACAGGTGCACACCACCATGCCCAGCTAATTTTTGTATTTTTAGTGGAGACGGGGTTTCACCATGTTGGCCAGGCTGGTCTTGAACTCCTGACCTCGTGATCTGCCCGCCTCGGCCTCCCAAAGTGCTGGGATTATAGGCGTGAGCCACCGCGCCCAGCCTAGAAAACATTTTTCAAAGAAACTAAAGAAGACCTAAGAAAGACATTTTGCATGCATGGATTGAAAGACTTAACGTTAATATGTCAGTGTTTCCCAAATTAATCTATAGATTCCACACAATCCCTGTCAAAAGACTTTTTTGTAGACAAGTGGACCCAGTAGAAATACAACAAACCCAATATAGTCAAAATAATCTTGAAAAAAAGAAAGAATATAGTTGGAAAAAATATGTTTTTTTTGTTGTTGTTGTTGTTTTTGAGACAGAGTCTTGCTCTGTCGCCCAGGCTAGAGTGCAGTGGCGCAGTCTCGGCTCACTGCAACCTCCACCTCCCAGGTCCACGCCATTCTCCTGCCTCAGCCTCCTGAGTAGCTGGGACTACAGGCACCTGCCACCAAGCCTGGCTACTTTTTTTTTGTATTTTTAGTAGAGGCAGGGTTTCACCGTGTTAGCCAGGATGGTCTCGATATCCTGACCTCGTGATCCACCCGCCTCGGCCTCCCAAAGTGCTGGGATTACAGGCGTGAGCCACTGCGCCCAGCCAAAAATACATTTATTAGAGTAACATGTAATTTTTAAGAGTAGTTTTAGACAAAACGTAGTTTTAGACAAATCAAGACAATTTTATTTATGGCACATGAAATTTCATAGTCTTGTGCATAACACTTTACAATGAGAACTTTTGTTAACCAGGACACACTATTTTCTATGTTAATTCTTCTGACACATAGATTTATGTTTCCCTCCTAGACTTTCTTGCAAAAATGCCTGTTTGGGATTCCTCAGAGTACAGACAAAAAGGAAGGCTTGATCAGCATGTGGTGGATCTGAAGATTCAAAGAGGTGCCACAGCTCAAAAGTAGACATTTTGGCAAATGTGAAGAAGTGAGATTCAATGAAGATGATAAGAAATGAAAGGTGTTACCAAAAGTGAGTATGTATAGCTGTGCTTGTCACACAAAGTAGGCTTTAAGTCAAAAAAGCACAAAAATAGAAAATAAAGGTCATTATAAAACGATAAAGAGATCAATTCAGCAAGAAGGTAGGACAGTTGTCAATGTAAACACCCTGACACAGGAGCCCCAGTTATTAAAGTAAGAGTTATTCGAGCAACAGACAGAGACAGACAATAATAGCTGGGGACTCCAACACCCACTTTCAGCAACAGACACACCCTCTAGGCAGAAAAGTAACAAAGACCAGACTGACTCCAAGAGAAGTCAAAGGGACCTCACAGGTAATTACAGAACATTTCACCCACCAACTGCAGAATGTGCATTCTTCTCATCAGCTCACAGAACATTCTCCAGGATAGACCACATTTTAGGCCACAAAACAAATCTCAAAAAAGCATTTAAAAAATGAAAATCATAGCAAGTATCTTCTCAGACCAAAGAGAAACGTTGGAAACTCTCCAGGTACATGGTATATAAATAATGGTAATGGTCAGTGAAAAAATCAAAAGGACAAAAACATTTCTTGGAAAAAAAAGGAAACGAGAGAAAAAATGCATATAGTAGGTGTTTTTGAAGTAAAAAATGCAGAACAATAAAATTCAAAGATACAATGAAAGAAACATTTTCTGAACTAAAAATTGATTTGAATATGTTTTCTTTCATTTGTAACAAAATGACTGGCAGGGAAAGGTGACGTCCCTGATTAAATAACTTTTTTTTTTGAGACGGAGTCTTACTCTGCCACCTAAGCAATTCTCCTACCTCAGCCTCCCGAGTAGCTGGGATTACAGTCATGCGCCACCACGCCCAGCTAATTTGCTGTATTTTTAGTAGAGATGGGGTTTCACCATGTTGGCCAGGCTGGTCTCAAACTCCTGACCTCAGGTGATCCACCCACCTCGGACTCCCAAAGTGCTGGGATTATAGGTCTGAGCCACCACACCCAGCCGATTAGATAGGCTTTTAAAGCCGCAGCAGAAGGGGCAGCAATGTCTGTAACCAGTGGCCAAACAGTATTAAACTCCTGGGTTGTTTTGGGAGGAGTCACTACAACTACAGCCCAACTACATTTATTATGCCAGATAACACAGTGCTGGGGGGACATACTGGAGTTGACAAGATCCCCTGGGGGCACAAGTGGCAATGGCTGTGCACCAGTGGCTGGATATTCCTGAAAAATGAAATAAACATAAACTGTGGTCACCCAAGAAGATGTAGAATTAGTGTACCAAAAAGCATTGATGAACATGGTCTGGCTCAACAGGAAAGCTGCAGGAATCATGTACACGTTCAATGCCCACGCAGCCATTGACATCACTGGTTTCAGGGTTTGGGAACAGGTACAGAATATGACCAGGCAGCAGAGGTGCTCTCTTTTTCATGGGCAGGCATGGTGGCTCATGCCTGTAATCCCAGCACTATGGGAGGCCGAGGCAGGCAGATCACCGGAGGTTGTGAGTTTGAGACCAGCCTGAGCAACATGGAGAAACTCTGTCTCTACTAAAAATACAGAAAATTAGCCAGGCGTGGTGGCACATGCCTGTAATCCCAGCTACTCGGGAGGCTGAAGTAGGAGAATCGCTTGAACCCGGGAGGCGGAGGTTGCGGTGAGCAGAGATCGTGCCATTGCACTCCAGCCTGGGCAACAAGAGCGAAACTCAGTCTCAAAATAAAAAATAAAATAAAAGTGCTTTCACATATGACAGGCATTACCAATAGTAGTGTCAAATAGCAGTTGGTGTCTTTTCATTTTATGTATGTTTATCATATAAGTCTGATCTTTTTTTAGTGTCTTGAATGGTTTTCTGGAAAGACGGTATTGGCAAGTGGCACAGGATGGTATCCCAGTTGTAAGAGGGTTGCATGATTCCTTTGTCTTTGATTTGAAAAGCCTAGTCTTGGACCGGGCTCAGTGGCTCACGCCTGTAATCCCAGCACTTTGGGAAGCCCAGGCAGGTGGATCACAAAGTCAAGAGATCGAGACCATTCTGGCCAACATGGTAAAACCCCGTCTCTACTAAAAACACAAAAAAATTAGACGGGAGTGGTGGTGGGTGCCTGTAGTCCCAGCGACTCGGGAGGCTGGGGCAGGAGAATCACTTGAACCCGGGGGGCAGAGGTTGCAATGAGCCGAGACTGCGCCACTGCACCCCAGCCTGGTGAGAGAGTGAGACTCCGTCTCAAAAAAAAAAAAAAAAAAAAAAAAAAAAAAAAAAAAAAAGAAAGAAAAGCCTAGTTTTGTCACTCAAGAGCATCTCACACCCAGGACATTTTCTAGTACTGCATTCTGTTCAACACGGTAACTGCTTCACTGCGTAAAAAACACTTTGAAGACAAAAAGGAATCTTTTTTTTTTTTTTTTTTTGTAGTCTTCCTGATATTTACAGTAATACTATTAACTATTTATTGACAGGAAAAACGAGATATTTGCAATGTGATGTAATTAGGATTTTTTTTTTTTTTTTTCCGAGATGAAGTCTCACTCTGTTGCCAGGGCTGGAGTGCAATGGCGCGATCTCGGCTCATTGCAACCTCCACCTTCCAGGTTCAAGCGATTCTCCTGCCTCAGCCTCCCGAATAGCTGGGATTACAGGCGCCCGCCACTACACCCAGCTAATTTTTTGTATTTTTAGAAGAGATGGGGTTTCACCATGTTTGCCAGGCTAGTCTCAAACTCCTGACCTCGTGATTCACCCGCCTCGGCCTCCCAAAGTGCTGGGATTACAGGCGTCAGCCACTGCGCCCGGCTGGGTTTTTTTTTTGTTTTTTTTTTTTTTTGACCAAGTTTTGCTCTTGTTGCTCGGGCCAGAGTGCGGTGGCACAATCTCAGCTCACTGCCACCTCTGCCTCCCGGGTTCAAGCGATTCTCCTGCCTCAGCCTCGCTAAGGAGCTGGGACTGCAGGCACCTGCCACCATGCCCGGCTAATTTTTATAGTGACAGGTTTTCGCCATGTTCGGCAGGCTGGTCTCCAACTCCTGACCTCAGTTGATCTGCCTATCTTGGCCTCCCAAAGTGCTGGAATTACAGGCATGAGCCACCGCGCCCAGCTGAAATTAGATGTTTTTTAGTGTAACAAGGAATTGCCTTCCAAAATGAAGTTCATGTATTATGCTCATTTGCAATATATAATTAACTGTGCAAAATGATTTTTAAATATAGTCAATAACAAAGATTGTTCTGTATATGGTAGTGTTTAATACCTTTTTTTTTTTTTCCCTGAGACGGAGTCTCACCTGTAGCCCAGGCTGGAGTGCAATAGCATGATCTCGGCTCACTGCAACCTTCTCCTCCTGGGTTCGAGAAATTATTCTGCCTCAGCCTCCCAGGTAGCTGGGACTACAGGCATGTGTCACCACACCCAGCTAATTTTTTATTTTTAGTAGAGACGGAGTTTCACCATGTTGGCCAGGCTGGTCTTGAACTCCTGACCTCAGGTGATTCTCCTATCTTGGCCTCCCAAAGTGCTGGAATTACAGGAATGAGCCACTGCATCTGGCCAATACATTTTTTAAAATCTTGTATATTGATTTCAGGCCTGTTTTCTTAACAGTAGCAGCTATTTCACCTAATTCTGAGCAGTGTTTTGTTCTCTGGGCCAGTAGGATTTTATGCATGCTTTTTGTGATCCGTGTTCAAAATCTGGATTGCCAACATTGCAGCTCCAATGTAAGCTTGTTATTCAAATAAATATTTAATTTTTAAACTTGCTCCTGTATGGCTGGGTGCAATGGCTCATGCCTGTAATCCCAGCATTTTGGGAGGCTGAGGTGGGTGGATCACCTGAGGTCAGGAGTTCGAGACCAGCCTGGTCAACATGGTGAAACCTTGTCTCTATAGGTTCAAGCGATTCTCCTGCCTCAGCCTCCCATGTAGCTGGGATTACAGGTGCCAGCCACCACACCTGGCTAACTTTTTGTATTTTCAGTAAAGACGGGGTTTCACCATGTTGGCCAGGCAAACTCCTGACCTCAGGTGATCCACCCTCCTCGGCCTCCCAAAGTGCTGAAATTACAGGTGTGAGCCACTGCTCCCAGCTGGGATACACATATTTAAAGTTGTTACCAAACTTCAAGGATCAAAGAAAGATTCCTAAGGAGGGTACATCTGAGAAAAGAAAAAGTTCTGTTCAAATAAATATTTTTCTGAGAGTTTTCCATAGCAATGTTTAATGCTAGAAAAAATGGAATAATATGACACATATGTGTGTATACTGTACATATAACTAAAGACATATACAATGGTCTGAAATTATAATGCACAAAGCCAATAGCATTAGTTACTTCTGAAGACTGTACTGGAATTGAAAAGAAGACATTGGTCTTGTGTAAAATTTTAATTTTTTAAACGGAATATGAAACAATGTTAATAATAACCACCACAACAATAAGAATAATGCTGAAGCAACCTCTTCCAAGTTATCAGGACAAGACCATGTGATCCAAACAGGTATGTTCAAGTTGTTTTTTAAGTAGAAGGAAGCAAACCTCATTTTCAAATATACAAGGATAGACCCATCTCATGAAATAATTTTGATAAGCAAGAAATGACTGGAGAAGCCATGACTTTTAAAAAATTGATAGCAGCCAATCCATTATAAAATTGTTAGACGATTATAAAAATGGTTATAGAATTACATGCTGTAATTCCTCAAGGAGGAATATGGTGGGTGAGTTCTTATATATGTAACATTGATAAATGTGAATGATGTCTTACAATTTAAATTATGCCAAAAGAAGTAATGTGTTTTTGATGGTGTTATCAGATTAGATTCTTCCAGAAAAGTTGAAGGATCTTTAGGAAAGATTTGAACATTAAACAAACCAGAGAATAAGGTAATAGATAGCCATTGTAGGTTCCTGGATGGTATGGCAGATTATATTACTCTCAAGAAGCATTTGTTCCCTCCCCAACCCCAACGCCGCCTGCATGTACTACCCCATTTCATTAATGTTGGACTTGACCAGGTGACTTTCTTTGCTCAATGTAGCATTAGCAGACTTGGTTCTGCCATTACTGTTACAAGAATAACGGAAAGCTGACCATTCTTCTTCTTTAGTTTCAAAAGTAAAAATAAAATGACTGTTAAGAGACAGAATACAAGCCACAGACTAGGAGAAAATATTTGCAAAACACATGTCTGATAAAGGGCTTATATCTAAACTAGACAGAAAATTCTTAACAATTAAAAAAACAATTTAAAAGTGAGAAAAAGATCTGAAGAGACATCTGAACAAAGAAAATACACAAGAGACAAATCAGCAAATAAAAAGATTCTCAGCCAGTTGCGGTGGCTCGTACCTTTAATCCCAGAACTTTGGGAGGCCAAGGTGGGCAGATCACCTGAGGTCAGGAGTTTGAGACCAGCCTGGCCAACATGGTGAAACCCTGTCTCCACTAAAAATATAAAAATTTGCTGGGAGTGGTGGCATGCGCCTGTAATTGCAGCTACTTGGGAGGCTGAGGCAGGAGAACTGCTTGAACCCAGGAGGCGGAGGTTGCAGTGAGCAGTGATCACACCATTGCACTCCAGCCCAGGCAACAGAGTGAGACTCCACCTCAAAAGAAAAAATAAGGCAATTTTACAGTAAATACGAAATCTCATTTCTGAGGGGCCCCCCCCACCTCCAGTTAGGTGATCCATTTGGTATGGTTGGGAGATGTGACACTCAAGGCTGGTATACCACGTGGTTACTGATTGAGAAATGTACATCACTGGGAAGAATGGATGGACTGCATGTTCTCTATGCAGCTATCAGTACACCTCTCTCTAAGCTGGCTTTTGAAAAATATGGCTGTGGGTTTGAGGTGATAACACTACCCCCTCTCCAGCAGCTCCTGTGTCGTGGTGCACGTATCAGGTGGTCTTTGTAGCCAGTGAAGATAGAATCCGGATTGGAATGTATGTTAAACAAAGGCTGAATCAGGACATGTGCCAAGCTGAAAGACTTTTCCAGTTCTGTACAACTGAGCCTCAACAGTGTGTTATGACAAAATTGTTCTCCAAACATTAATTTGTGGTCCGCTCCCATACACAAACAATACCAAATAATGGACTATGTGTCCATCTTGTCCATCTTTGACACTGTGCTCTACCAAGAGAGACACCTCCCAAAGCCAGAAAATGTTTATTAAACAAAATCAATGAAATGTCTGAGCACAGTCCAGGTGGCAGAGGTTTACTTCTTGAATAAATGACTTCATCTTTTAACACCATTTCACACTGAAGTCCAAATGGCCTCACAAATATTTCCTGGATCCTAACAAAGAAAATAATCTCAGTTGAAGATCCTGTATTCAATTATTTTGGCAACTGTTTCTTACGTGTTTTCTTTTTCTTTCTTTTCTTTTTTTTTTTTTTGAGGAGTCTCGCTCTGTTGCCTAGGCTGGAGTGCAGTAGCACGATCTCAGCTCACTGCAAGCTCCGCCTCCTGGCTTCACGTCATTCTCCTGCCTCAGCCTCCCGAGTAGCTGGGACTAGAGGTGCCTGCCACCATGCCCAGCTAATTTTTTTTTTTTTGTATTTTTAGTAGAGATGGGGTTTCACCGTGTTAGCCAGGACGGTCTCGATCTCCTGACCTCGTGATCCGCCCACCTCAGCCTCCCAAAGTGCTGGGATTACAGGCGTGAGCAACCGTGCTCGGTCATCTTACATATTTTCTTTGTCTAAATGACTGAGCTGGGTGCTGAGGAGATGATGTTGGCCAGGATGGTCTCTATCTCCTGACCTCATGATCTGCCTGCCTTGGCCTCCCAAAATGCTGAGATTACAGGCGTGAGCCACTTTGCCCAGCCAAGATTGAAATCTTGATGAAAAAAAGCAGTTTGGAAACTTACCTGTTTTTTATTCAAAGCCCGTCCTCTCCTTCCTGTTCATGAATGGCAGGCATCCTGTGGTGACTGAAGAAGGGCCTAGCAGCAAAGGGACTCCATCGCCCGAGGAGCAGCTTCCGCAGGAGCTCTGGCAGGTTCCTTGGAAAACGTGGCAGTGCCGGCCCATGGTGCCCTGTTCAGAAATACAAGACTCAGATTTAGTAAAGCCAGTTGTGTAATGTGAAATTCGTTTAAAAAATCCTTAACCAAAACATTTCATAAGACCGATGTATTCTATCAACAGTATTTTACTGTATGTTCATACTTAACGGCATTAAGAATCACCGTGATGGGCTGGTGACATGCATCTGGTTCATCAATGTTAGTGGCAAAGCTTCCAGCATCTACAACTCTAGTCACCAAAATCAAGAATGTCTTTCTCTTCTCTTTTTACCTAATTACAAAAAAGGGATTGATTTATGAAAAGCAATATATTAACAAATAGCACAACTTATGTTCATATCATTGCCACTTCTAGCCACAAATTAGGAGTCAGGATTAAGGAAAACTTACCTAAGTTTTCCCAGGCTATTTTAAAATTGCTTTTTTTCTACAAAAATAAGTGTTAAATTCTTCTTTTGAGGTAGTCTCAATTAAGTTGATGCTAATTGGAAAAGACTATTAGATCTTAAGCTGAACTGACAATTTTATAAAATAAATAGACTTCCTTTTCTACTATTAGAATGTTCTAATAATGAGTTCTATTATTATAGTAATACTTCTGAATTCCCTTTTAAAATATTGTTACTATCTTGGCATTTTTCAGACTTAACCTGAAAATGTTTTAAATATCAAAATAGACATATCCGAAGTTTACAACAAGGGTGTACAATCATGATGGGCACACTTCCTCAAACATGGGGGACCAACCCAACTCAGACCCATCACACCCTCAGCGTGTGGAAATGTTAAACTATACAGGAACCATGGCTGGAGACAAAAATCTGTAGGTGTCCCTGACATAAAATGCCATAGTACTTGCCTGCAGCCTGGACACACCCTCCAATATCCTTCAAATCATCTCTAGATTACCCACAATACCTAATACAATGGAAATGCAACGTAAATGGTTGTTATACTTTATTGCATAAAGAATGACAAGAAAAAAAGCTTGTACATATTCAGTACAGATGCAACCATCCTTTTTTTTCTGGAATATTTTTGATCTGAGGTTGGTAGAAAGCAAGGATGCAGGACCCACAGATAAAGAGGGCTGACTGTATTTAACACACACACACATTTTCTTTTGCCTGAGTAAAAAACAAAATTGTACTTGTAACACAGCTAAAGGATGTCAACAAAACTGTTCTTCCCAACCTCAAATTGATAGAGACGACCTTCAAAGTCCACATAGAACCTCTTATTGCCTTTTGTATTTTTAGTAGAGACAGGGTTTCACCATGTTGGCCAGGCTGGTCTCAAACTCCTGACCTTGTGATCCGTCTGCCTCAGCCTCCCAAAGTGCTGAGATTACAGGCGTGAGCCACCGCACCCGGCCATCTCTATTTCTTATACACAATAATATTATAACAAGAAAGATGTAAATTTGCTTAATATGCAGCTTCTGTTTCTGAGTTCTGTAGCTGTCACTCAATAAGATAAGAAAGCTACTGATCTCACCAAATCAAGGACACAATACTGTTCCCTCAGGTAGCACAAATTGCATGGGCTCAAAATATGGGAAAGACAATATTTTATGAAATGGTGTATTTTAAGGCTGACCTACAGATAGGAATTTTTTTTCCAATCCAAGCAATAAAGCTTTGATGTGGAGGTTCACTCCACATCCTGTCCTGATCCTCAGCTGCCAGAGGCCAGCCTGTACTTGCCTTCACACTGCGTCTTCCTTCATGGCTTCAGGCTAAGATTGCTGGGAGCCTCCTATAAATGTGGTCATCTTATGGATTAAACACTTTTTTTGTTAGTTTTTTTTGTGTTTTAGAGACAGGGCCCACTGTCATCCAGCCTGGAGTGCAGTGGTATGATCATAGCTTTCTACAACCTCTAACTCCTAAGCTCAAGTGATCCTCCCAACTCAGCCTCCTGCGCAGCTAATTTTTAAATTTTTTTTTGTAGAAACGGGGTCTTGCTATTGTTGCCTAGGCTGGTGTCAAACTCCTGGTTTATAGTAACCCTCATACCTTGGCCTCTAAAAGTGCTGGGATTACAGGAGTGAGCCATCATGCCCAGCTTAGATTAAATACTTTTTTTTTTTTTTTCAGATGGAGTCTTGCTCTGTTGCCAGGCTGGAGTGCAGTGGCGCAATCTTAGCTCACTGTAGCCCCCACCTCCCAGGTTCAAGTGATTCTCCTGCCTCAGCCTCCCGAGTAGCTGGGACTACAGGCACGTGCCACCATGCTCAGCTAATTTTCGTGTTTTTAGTAGAGATGGGGTTTCACCATGTTGGCCAGGATGGTCTTGATCTCTTGACCTCATGATCCACCCACCCCAGCCTCCCAAAGTGCTGGGATGACAGGCGTGAGCCACCATGCATGGCCCAGATTAAATACTTCTTTAGGAGATGGACTAGAAATGGGTCATCAGAAATTGTTTTTACTTACATATGAAGAATTCCAATCTTCAAAAGAATTTTAGAACTCAATCAGAACTTGAGAACTTCTTTCAGTAGGTGCTGTGATTCAATAACCAGAATTCTGCTTTACTTTATAGTTACACAAGTATTTCTGTCATTTTCCTACTAAATTACATGAAGGGGGTTGTCTGCTTATGAGCTGCACCACCGAGCAGCATGCCTATCAGCGAGAAGGTGCCTGACAATTCTCAGTTGAAATGTCCTGACCAAGTTCCCCCAGAAATTTGTGAGTATTCAACTGTATTAAAACTAAATATATTGTTTTTAATGACAAATAGTCACTATTTAGTAAAATGATTACTGTGCTATAATAGAACAAGTCCTTAGCCCAAAATTAAATGGCCACAGATTGACATATGCATAAAGCTTATCAACTATCACATAACACATTTTAACAAAAATCAAGAGGACTAATAGATGATCTCTTCTTTTTCTTTTGTGAGACAGGGTCTTGCTCTGTCACCCAGGCTGGAGTACAGTGGCACAATCATGGTTCACTGCAGCCTCCACCTCCTGGGTCCAAATGATCCTCCAACCTCAGCCTCCCAGGTAGCTGAGGCCACAGTAGCATGCCACCATTCCCGCTTAGTGTGTGTGTGTGTGTGTGTGTGTGTGTGTGTGTGTAGAGTCTGGTCTCAAACTTCTGGGCTCAAGCAATTCTCCCTCTTTGGCCTCCCAAAATGCTAGGATTACAGGCATGAGCTAAATCGTACCAAAGAAATTATATTTTAAAAGTAAAGT